>NC_000006.12:98252608-98404123 GCF_000001405.40 Homo sapiens
TTCCTGGAAAGATTTCTTGAATCCCCAAAGCAGTGCGTATAACATGTGTTCACAAACAAGTTCTGTTAACTACCATCCCTAAGTGGCATCTGTTATATTATTTTTTTCTGCTACAACTGTATGTGGCTCAGGTCTTCAACCTTTAATCCAGCTGGAGAAGCCTCACAGGTGGTACCGTTGATATACCAGTCAAAAGATTGCCAGTATCGATGTCAAAGGTTTAAATAAATGAAGATCTCCAGGTTCTTATAACCCTTCTGAGAATCAGTAGGTTTTAAATGGAGGTGAAAAAAATGCCCCTCTATCAAGATTTCAGCCATATTTAATTACTTGGGCTCCTTAGCAACTTGGATCATGACCTGACTACTACAAAATTATTTCCTCAGTGTCCGTGCTCAGCTCTGCTTTTTTTCACATGTAGGCAACTTTCAACCTGTGCCACTCACAAGAGATCATTTCCTTATCTCCTTCCTCTTCACCCCAAATCACCCTTCTCTGCAGGAACAAGCAAGCAAGCAACAGTTCTGACAAAATTTATTTTATAATTGACAAAAATTGTATATATTTATGGTGTACAGCATATTTTGTTATGCATATACATTGTAGAATGGCTACATCAAATTATTTAACATTAAATACTTATATTTTGGTAGTGAGAACACAAAATCTACTCTTTCAGCAATTTTAAAACATGTAATACATTGTTATTAACTAATAGGAAGCATGACGTACAGTAGATCTCTTGAACTTATTTCTGATGGCTAACTGAAATTTTGTCTTCAAGCCATCTCTCCAATTCCTCTACCTCTCAGCTGCTGCTAACCACCATTTTACTCTGTATCTAAGAGTTTAACTTTTTTACACTCCACATATAAGTGAGATTATATGGTATTCATCTCTCTTCTTTTGGCTTATTTCACTTAACATAATGTCTTTCAGGTTCATCCCTGTTGTCTCAAACGACAGAATTTTCTTCTTTTTTAAAGATTGAATAGTGTGGCTCAGGTCTTCAACCTTCCATCATGTATATATACCACATTTTCCATATCCATTGATCTACTGATAGACATTTAGGTTGATTTTGTATCTTGGCTTTTGTAATTAATGCTGCAATAAACATGAGAGTGAAACTATCTCCTTGACATACTGATCTCATGTCCTCTGGGTATATGCCTAGTAGTAAGATTGCTGGGTCATCCAGTAGTTCTGTTTTTCATCTTTTGAGGAAACTCCATGTTTTCTATAATGGCTGTACATCCCCACCAACAGTGTGTAAAGGTTTCGTTCCCTCCACATCCTTGCCAACACTTGTTATCTTTTCTCTTTTTGATAATAACCATTTTAACAGATGTGAGGTGATATCTCATTGTAGTTTTATTAATAATTTGCATTTACCTAATAATTAGTCCGGTTGAGCATCTTTTCATTAGTCTATTGGCCATTTGTATAGCAAAGTCTATTTTAGAGTATACTCTACAAAAAAAAATTTCTCCTCAACTGTACCCAACCTCCACTCAAAAGGTCCCAAATCAAATATATAACACCACACATAACCTTAAACAAACAATCAAGTACAAATTGCCACTGCTACATTACCAACTGGAAAACCGAATATCATCAATAGCGAATTTTTAGTTTTCCTCAAGAATATTGACAAGTATATGACAGATTATTTTCTGAAAAGAGCACAACTGTACGTGCCATCCCACATAATCTTCTTGCAATGTGACTTTGACATGGGTCTATGCTCCCATTCCTTAAACTTGGGTGGATTTGTGACTACAGCAGAAGTGACACTGTGTGATTCCCAAGGATAGCTTTTAAAAGATAATACTGTTTCCACCTGATTATCTTGGGGATGCTTGTTCCTGTAATACAGCCAGGATATAGTGAGAAAGCCCAAGCAGCTCACAGAGAGGTCCACGTAGAGACGAAACAAGGACCCTTGTCCACATCCTGGCTGAACTCCCAGCACCAACCTGCCCTGACTCCCAGTCAATCTACCTCACCTGACACAACAGGGAGCAGAGATAATCTGCACCTGCTGGGCTTTGTTTTCTGAGCTCAAAATTGCTCATTTGTGAACAAAATATATGATTGTTTTTGTTTGAAACCATTGTGTTTGAGGGTGGTATGGTATGGAGCAATAGGTAACTGAAACATAGTTTAGTACCTGGAAGTAGGGTGCTCCCGAAATAAAAGTTGTAAAATGTGTCGCAATACTTTTGTGATCAGCCAGCAAGTATAAGCTGCACGGTCTCAAGGACAACTAGTGAAAACTCAAGGGCTTCAAAGAGAGAGTTAGAAAAAGCCTTAAGAGATTAGAGGAGGTTGTCAGTGAGAGCTTCAAAAAAAGTGGGGAAAATGTTGTTGGACACCAGAAAAAAGAGGACCTTTCATATGAAATGGCAGGAAATGTGACAAAACTGTTGTCTCGATTAATGTGAAAAAATAAGAAATCTGTAGAAAGACATTTATGATATGAGGAAATTTTCAGGAAAAAAAATGTCTTGGAGATGGCAGCTGACTTCTTCCAGCTGTCTAGACTAAAATGGGAGAGACAAGAGAAAACAGAAGAAAATAACTGATCATTTTTTAAGGAAAATTTGAGGAAGTATAAATGATCCAGGACCTTCAGGGATTCCAAAATAAAACTTTTCCTCATTCCCATTCTCTCCTAATTGGCAAAATGCTCTCAAATTAAGAAATTGCCTTTGGTCTAATATCAAATCCAAGATCATCTGTAAGATCCTTCATTACAATCTGAGAAACATTTAAGGTGATGCTGCAGAGTTGCCCCTTACCTCTATATGAGATTTGGAGGTTTCAAATCCCCACCTGTATAAGATTTAAATGCCTTGAATGCTGGTCTCCCATTCAAGGCATTCAAATTCTATCATATATCTGAATGCAGTCAACTTTTCCTGAATGCGTACTCATCTGTACTACCCTGGGAAAATCCTGTACCATTTGATTTATGCCTTTCCATAAGATAGGTATAGAGTCCCACCTAGGCTCAATGGATGCCTACAAATGCTGTGAAGATGACTATCTTGTAGTTGTCTTAACCTGTTTCTACCAATTGCTGTCCAAACTATAGATTTGGGAGATTTTTTGTTTGTTTTGTTTCTAGTTTGAGGTTATTATGCAGCAGTTATATAAGTGAAGCTTTACATTTGGATTGAATGGTTTCTGATAATTTCTCTAAAATGAAAATCCCCACAGACGTGAATAATGCCAATGGTAATAAAGTTAGTTAAAATGTTTCAAGCTACACATCACAACATTATTTAAGTAATTATTCAATTAGTTAATATAATAATTTAGAAAGCATTATTATTATAAAGTGCATGAGAAAAAAGATGCAACCATATTTTTGTACATATGACTATCTCTATGATGAAATAAGTATTTAAAAACCCCAAAAAACAAATAATATGCATGGATAAAATAGTGAAAAGGCATTCAAGAAATTCCCTAAAATGATGAGATTATGGATAGTCTTGTTCATCTTTTTTTCTATCTTTCAGTAATTTCCAACATTTCTAAAATATACATTATTATATTTACAGTGAAAACACACCATATGCCAATTTACATAAAAACTCAGTGATTTTATGGAACTTCAGCACAAAGCAAAATTATAGCTCTTTGCCGTTTAGTTGTCATTTCAGGGTTTCAAGGCAAATAAAACATAAAATATTTGTTTTACTTTCTTGAAAATATTTGTAAAATATGCCTGGGTGAAACTGTTTTTCGTTTTTTTATTTTATTTCCCAAACCTTCTTTAGACAAAATTTTAAAATTTTTCTTAACTCCACAAGAGCAGAGATATACCTTCTTCATCTTTCTATGTATATACCTAATTACACATATTACAAAATGCCCTTTCAATAAATATTGTTGCCTGAATATATGAATTCTTTTTGATGGCTCCTGTTCTTTCTCACAACAACTTTATGTGTCCTGTAACACTTGGGGAGATAAATATATATCTTTTTCATGCTTAAAGAGCTGCTCTTCTGCGATACCTTTGACTCCCTTCCCTGTGCAGATAATTCATCAGTCTGTATCTTCATTCCTGTCTCCTCTTCCAGTCCTGCATTTCTCAGTGCTCCGTTAACATCTTCAGTGGGCATGCTCATATATCGTAGCCTTCATTATTTCTGAAAATTCCATGCTGAGTTTCTCATCTCCATAATATGCAAAAGTTTTTCTCACTTTTTCATATTTGCTGTTCGATTGTAACCAGAATACTCAAAAATTGTATATCTGTGTCTTCCAACTCATCACTACATTTTCCTTATTTCCTCCCCTGCCTACAGTCCTTGGAGTAAAAATGATAAAATAATTTGTTTAGAGTGAATCAACAACTCAAGCACTCCACTCTGAATGCATAGAGAAGGCACTCAGTCAAATCCTAATTCATTTCACCCTTCTCATCCTCATTCATTGCTCTTGTTACGGCAAACAAGCACAGTCTTCTTTTCTTCTGTTCTCTTCATTGTGGTCTGTGTAAGTCTCCGTGGTCACAAGCATCTTTCTCATCTATCCATTTGCCATCATAACTCTTCACCATAAATCCCCCCGACACTGTTTTTTCTTTGTCACTAATGCAGATGATTGATCTGAAGCTGTAAATTTTCCAGGAGCCAACCCTATTGACTCACCTGATACTTCATAATCAGGCAAGCAAACTTGCTTTCAGTCACACAAACAGAAAGAAAATTCTTTGAAAATTAGGAAAAAAATGATTCTGGGGGAAAGAATACGCTAGAGTTGTGACAAGAAAGACTAATGTGTAAAAAAATTTTATCATTTATTCATCTACAGTTTTGTTCTGATTTCTGTGTGTCCTGATGGTTAATACTGAGTGTCAACTTGATTGGGTTGAAGGATGCAAAGTATTGTTCCTGGGAGTGTCTGTGAGGGTGTTGCCAAAGGAGATTAACATGTGAGTCAGTGGACTGGGAGATGCAGACCTACCCTCAGTCTGGGTGGGCTCAATCTAATCAGCTGCCAATGCAGCTAGAACAAAGCAAGCAGAAGAAGATGGAAGAGCAGGCTTGCTGAGTCTTCCAGCCTTCGTCTTTCTCCTGTGCTGGATGCTTCCTACCCTCAAACATCAGATTACAAACTCTTCAGCTTTTGGACTATTGGACTTAACACCAGTGATTTGCCAGGGGCTCTCAGGCCTTCAGCCACAAACCAAAGACTTCACTATCAGCTTCCCTACTTTTGTTTGAGGTTTGGGGACTCTGGCAGGCTTCTTCCCCCACAGCTTGCAGATGGCCTATTGTGGGACTTCACCTTGTGATCATGTGAGTCAGTTCTTCTAATGAATCCCTCTTCATATATACATATATCCTATTATCCTATCTGTCCCTTTAGAGGACCCTGATTAATACATGCATGGTCATGTGTTTGCTTCTTTTTCCTGTTCAGGAGGAAAGGGAAGATAGTCATATTAAGAAAAATAAACCCATTCTAAAATAAGTGAAAATATCATCATGCTCATCATGCTTATTGCAAATGAGCATGATATGTGACTCTCTGCTGGTAAACAGAATTGATTGTTAAGTAAATGAAGTGCTCAATGATATGCTGTACTTAAGTATGTGTAATATGAGTATGTGCTGAACAGAAACATCACAAAATAGAATATGCAAGGTAATGCAATAAGTTTGTGAATAACTGTAGAAGATATGAAACCTTGCTCAGGTAATCAGGGACAAGCGAAGTGAAACAAAACTCAACTGCCACTTTTACATTAGGTTATCAAAAAATTTAAATTCTATTCCAAATGGAATTGAGGAGGTCATGAAATTACTATCCTTCATTCTTTGTTGATGTCATTATCAATGGTCACAAGATTTTGGAAAGCAGTTTGCAGTGTGTATTGAGAGCCACAAAATATTTGCAAACTTGAGGTGATAATTCCATCTATGAAACTTATTTTCTAAAAAATCCAAAAACAGAAAAAAATGCATTTTTATTGTAGTAAATAAAAAGGTAATAACTAATATGATTGCCTTCCAGTACTCAATTGAAATTATGCTACAGCTAAAAATTTTTGTTATGAATACCATGATATGGAAAATATGGAATACAGAAAGTGATAAGATACATTTTGAAACTTTTACTACATTTTTTCTTGTAAAGAAGCCTTGTAACAGTCTATAACAATTAAAAACCAAATTACTTAAAATAACACTATCCAGATATAAATGCTATCAAGTTAGAGTATATTTTGTTCCAGAAAAATTGACAGATTGTTTGATAGTTAAATGCATACACAGATATATAAACGGACATAGTTACATAAATATATAGCGTAACTATGGTTGTAGAGTTTGTAGCTTTTTGTTTATTGTGTAATACTGATGCTAAGTGAGAGAAGCAGAATACAAAATTAAAAATAGCCTAAGATTAATGATATAATAAAGAGAAAAATAAATTACAGGAAAAATGAAAAAATATATATTGAAATATATTAACCCTGGCTTGTAGTAGTAAAATGTGATTAATTTTTTCCACTTTGTAAGAATTTTGGTTTTCTCTTTTTGTTTTTGAGGAATGGGGGTGCTTTGAGTATTTGGAATTTTTCCCAACCCAGAATCATATAACCTTCCACCTTAGAAGAACACCCCTAAATAAGTAGGAGGTGGGGTCTCTGACAACAGAAGCTGAAAAGGCATAAATAATACTTTTCCAACTGTCTGGAACCTAGTGCTCAGGTGCATGACACAGGCAGCGATGCTTAGACATTCCTGCTCATGACTAAGAGTCTTGGGGAGGGAGTAAAGTTGCAGTGACAGCCAGGAGATTTTAAGTGACTGTGGAAAACAGAGATATGGCCATGTATCCAGGGGCAATATTATCAGTGGCTACAAATTAATCAGACTTTTCTGGGGAAATTATGGCTATGCCTTACTTCCCTTAGGGTTTTGAGATGGGCTTTCAAGGGATATTAACCTAATGAAATCATATAACAAATGAAATCTCTACATATGTGCATTTTCCTTGGAGAAGAATCTTCAGATAGGCAAAAGATTCCATGATGCAGGATATGCTAAGAGCCTTCAACATGGGTGATATGGTTTGGCTCTGTGTCACCACCCAAATCTCACCTTGAATGGTAATAATCTCCACAGGTCAAGAGCGGGACCAGGTGGAGATAATTGAATCATGGGGTTGATTTCCCTCATGCTGTTCTTATGATAGTGAGTGAGTTCTCAGGAGATCTGATGGTTTTATAACCATCAGCTTAGCACTCATTCTCTCTTGCCACCCTGTGAAAAGGTGCCTTCCACCATAATTGTAAGTTTCCTGAGGCCTCCTCAGCCATGCGGAACTGTGAGTCAATTAAACCTCTTTTCTTTATAAATTATCCATTCTTGGGTATTTCTTTACATCAGTGTGAGAACAAACACAGTGTGTCAACATTACTGAGGTGCCCTATCCATTTCTGTGCTTCATCTGTTCTTTACAAGATATCTCCACCAGGCTTTACATCTAATAGTCAGAGGTTTGCAATGAATCCATGTTATTTTAGTCAACTAATGAGTCAAATGAATTAATTGATTTGCTCAATTACTTAAAAGTATTTATTGCCATCTTCTACCTGTTGGGCATGGTTTGGTAAATGAGGTACACGTGCAAAAGTCATCAACGATAATCCAGGTGAGGGCTAGAGATAAAAGCATGAAATAATTGCAGTCTTCTCTGTAAAGATGGAAAACTGGATACCCTGAAAATCTCTCGTGACAAATCATCTAAAAATGCCAGGTAAAATACGTATAACATTCTCTTCAATAAAGGTACGACCTTACAAGATAGCAATGGAAATGCTCTGAGGACTAGAAAGAAATTCAGGTCTAGGAGGTAAGTGAGTCTTGCAGCATCAGCAATCAAGGGCACCTACAATCTTGAGTGGCCCCAAGTTTTAATGTTATTTATTTATTTATTTATTTATTTATTTATTTATTTATTTGAAGAGCTTTAGGGGTACAAGTGGTTTTTGGTTACACACATGAATTGTATAGCAGTGAAATCTGGGCTTTTAGTGTACCCATCAACCAAATAGTGTACATTGTACCCAATAGATGATTTTTCATCCCTCATCCAACTCTCATCCTCCTCACTTCTGAATCTCCAGTGTCCATTATACCACACTGTATGCTTTTGTGTATGCATATCAAACTAACTTTAAAGGGCATATGCAGAAGGAGAGAGGAAACTTATGGGGTCAATAGAAATCCAATATTTGTTCAACTCTGGGCTTTTCTGCAGTTACCAATACTGAATTCCTGGTGGCTGCAAAAGTCTCCTTTCAACTGATTTGTGTGGAGTTGAACATATCATTCAAAGTCTTTATATCTCAACCCCTCCACTATGAAAATTTTAGTTACAATGCTTCTATAATTTTTGAAGATATATAAAAAGTCCCACTATATATTACATTGCCATATTCATATATGGGCAGAATTCTTGCATCAGGCCACCTTGTAGTCCTCCATATGAGCTGCCTTTGTGTCAGCCACTCACCCCAGATCCAAAGAATAAAGCAGCATCATGACATTTCATGCTTAAGGGACACCTGTGAACCCCTTTCCTTAGCAGGATTAAGTGGGCAGAAATTTTTTAGGAAGAAGTGTAGAAAAAATTCTGAGGCTTTGTCTTTCCAACTAAGATGACTAAAGGGATAATTTCTAAGTAAACAGGGATGCAAGGAACAATTAATTTATTTTTAACCAGAATAGTGATTTAAGTCTAACACGTTCTTGAATAACAATTTTCAAACTCCAGGAAAACATTGAAAATAATTTATATGCAATGTAAGATGCATTTCCTGGTTGCATTTATATTTTAATGTTATATTTTAATATATAATTTTAAAATACTACTCAGAAATCTAATCCCAGTAGGCCGAGGAATGTGTGATGTGTCAGTCACTCATCTACATGAAAGCGTATAAGCCAAGGTTAAACTATCTGACAATAGGCTGAGTTGTAAGACTACCTAAGATATATATTTATTTTCCTTTAGGGAAGGAATAAAAAGGAAATGGCAGTGTATTAATATAATATATAATATATTAATTGCTATAGGCTGATAATTAGGGTAGCTGAATCAAATATTAAATTTATAAATATCACAAAATTTGGATGGTTTGCAAGCACTAGATAAAACTGAAAATACGTTTATGAATATAGAGAGGTTACAGCTTTGAATAAGAAATATCAAAATAAGATTAGGCTTTGGAAAATGTAAAGTAATGCATCTTGGGTGAAATATTCACAGATAATGAGGGAAATTGAGCTACTGTATTTGGAAAATAGTAGTGTTGCATGAGATTGGGAGTGGTAGTTACAGAAAATTAGTATGAGATTGCATGGAATGATATAGTGGTTTATAAAAACTGTTTGGGCAGCACATGCAGAGATAACACATCACGAGTCAGACAAGTGTGTCCATTTATGAAAACCTCAGTTCCAGAAGGATGTCATCGTACTACAGTGAATGCAGAGAGGGGCTACAAAAATGATTGAGGGTCTGGCAGGGCTGATGTGAAGTAAGATTAAAAAGAACTAAATATGTATGGCTTATCCAAATATAGACTATATCACCACAAAATCATGTGCTCACACACTGAGAAAAGGGACAGAATGTTCCAAGTTTAAGTAAAGGTTATCAAGAACATCCTTAGGAAAAGTAAAAAAAGAAGTTAAGGTGAAATAAGGGCTCCCTAGTGTGTTAAGTAGAGAAAATAAGTGTACCACTTTGGTTCTCTAGACCCATTTTGCAAAGTGAAAATAATACTACCATTTAATCTTTTAGTCTTTCAGTCTCCACATCTTTAAAATCAGGAGTAATGATCCCTTTTTAGCAAATTTAAGAGTTTTGATTGACAAGATCAATTCTAGCCATATTCATTTAAATTTTGTTTTTTGAAAAACATTTAACACAATGCTTAGCATTTAGTATAATAGCATTCAGATTTTATTTCAAAAATTCAAGTTGATCTAAGAAATGTATAGTAAATGTAGTAACGTTTAAATATGAACATGAAATATGGAAACTGGAATTTATTGTGGTTTCTGATATCAAAGATCTTGCAGTCTCATGAATGAGTAGACATGTATTCAAGCACAACAGCAAAATATGTTAATGGCTACAGTAGAGTTTCAAAAAAGAGCAACTGAGATTTCAAGAGATCCAGAGGATAATATTTTAAGGATGAGAGTAAAAGGTGGCACTGGAACTGATCCTTAAAGAGTAGTAGGAATTCAACAAGAGGGGATTGGGTGCAGATCTAAAGAGTGAAGAGTATCAGTGAATGATACCCGAGAGAAGATATGAAACCCATGGGCAAAAGCATGAGTGGCCTGGTATGACTAAAACAAGAACCACAGGGAAGTATGAATGTAAGACCAATCTGGACAGGTGCATTGTCATTTATTGGAGAAAAGCTATGACTAGGATATTAACAGGAGTTTAGACCATATAGAAATCAGTTGTTTTCAAGCATTTTTTAGACTTTTGTCAAATAAAATATTACACAGAGGCCTTATCTATGGAACAGATGAATAGAGTGCCTCTCTGAAGCAGGTTAGAAGCCTTAGGTCCTGCCCACCAGAATCTCTTTAATCTTTCTTCCGAGTCTCCTCACCCAGAAGACTCTGAGGCTAATGGAAAGACTGAGAAACTGTGACACAGAGTTTGAAGAATACAAATATTTGTAAAAAGAAACAACCCAGAACTGTCGAACAAGGCAATGTAACTGGCAGAAATGTGAAGGATAGGTCAGGCTGGGTGAAGGATAGGTGAGCCTAGGTGGTAGATGAGGAATAGAAAAGATGTGGCTTTGATACAGTATAGTTGAATAGCAACTCTCCTAGATTTTTTTTTTAAAGACTGATCATGAGAAACAACAGTAGATGCTAATTTAGATCTTCAGAATGGGTGAGTAAGGCATTGTATAATGCCACTAACTGAGTTAGAGGGAATTTTCACTTCATACGTAATTATGGCTTAGGATTTGAATCTACGACTTTCTCAGCAGCTCTGTTGTGTACCTAGTGACATAAACAATAATAAACTGTATTGCTTGATAGAATTTCTGCCTTCTGAGTTCTGAATTACAAAATCCTGTCACCACAGGGAGAGGGGAGAGAAGTATGTACAAAAAGAATGGGATATCATTGTAAATGAATTCTTTTATTCCCTCATTCATGGGTTATGCATCACTCACTAATCATTTGAAATATGTTAAGTACTGTGGTAGATGCTGGAATAATTGAAGTTTTAATTATTTACTCATTTTTTTATAGATTATTAACCTTTAAACTCATCTTCCAGATAATCATTTCTGTCTTTGTCTCTTTGGGCTGCTATAATAAACTACCACAGACTGGATGGCTTGTAAGCACCAGAAATTTATTTCTCACTGTTCTGGAGGCTGGTAAGTCCAAGATGAAGGCATTGGCAAATTAAGTGTCTGGTGAAGGCCCAATTTCTGTTGTATAGACTGCCATCTTCTCACTGTGTCCTCACATAGCAGAAGGACTGAGGAAGCTCTGTGGTGTCCCTTTTATAAGGACACTAATCCTATTCATGAGGGCTCCATCCTCACGTCATTTTATCTCCCAAAGATCCCATCTCCTCATACCATCGAATTAGGGTTAGAATATGAATATTATTAGAATAGAATATGTATAATAGATACAAATATTCAGTCAATAGCACCATGCTTCCAGATTTATATGTATATAAATACAGAATTTTGAATTTTTTCATTTTTGGATATTTTTATATGTCAAATAGTGTCAAAATATTTGTGTAAGTACCAAATACTATCCCTAAATGAAGACATTTTGACCTATGTTATCAAGTGTCCATATATTTGAAAATATTCTATGTAATAAATAAAATTCACCTTTGTATCCATAAATTTATTTTCATGAAACTTTAGATATTTTATTTCCATCATCTTCATCAAACTAGGATCCCAGTTGGCCAGTTCTATTATGTAAGGACAAATATATGTCTTGAAAAAAAATGATAAGAGTGCTCCTTTAACTTAGCCATCTCAACCCCAAGGTATCACTTCTTATTTTGTATTGTCAGTATCACTGGCAGCAATATTAAAGACTAAAGTACGTTTATTTTAAAAAAATGCCTATTATCAACGTATTTTGAACTATCAATTTTAGAGCAGAGATTGAAAAATTTGAAAAAATATTGTATTTACAGCCATTACTGTATGTCATTACTATACATCATATTAAAAATATAGCATTGCTATATTATCTTTTATATGACTTTTATATTTTTATATAAAAATATTGTTATATTATATTATATACTTTGATTTAATCTTTGAAACCTACAAGACCGGTATAATCACCAATTATATATATGAGGAATTTGGGGTTTTAAAAGTTTAACTTGCTCAAGGGCACATAGCTCCTTACAAGTAAAGTAAGAGTTTGAACTCAGGTTTGTAAATTTCAAAGTCCAAGTACCTTTCATAAAAATGCTCCCTACCAGAGAATAGTAAAGAACTCATTAACATCATCCAATATCATTGTCATTGGGGAGGGGAGAGACGTTAATACTTTTTCTTCCTTGTAATAACTCACTAATTGTCATTTACTGCTATAATATTGTAGTGATAAACCAATTTGAGTTTTGTTTTCCTATCTAGTTGGAAGAGCCATCTCTGGTCAAAATAGCTCTTTAGAAGGAGATCTTTTCATTTACTGTATAAAGTAATCAAGGTCATCAAGTCTCAAATTTATTTTATAAACGAATGAATAATTTGATAATATACATGTTCATAGGATGTCAAATTCATTGTAAATATTTGAAGGATTGGCCTATAAACCATTGGGAGGTATTTACACTGAAATGCATACCAAACTAGATTGAGGTGGGGAGAAATGAGTTCTTAGAGAATGTTTTGAAATGCTGATACATTGACATAAGCTACATGAAAAGTGGTTAATTTTTCTTGTTTGTCCAAAGTTGCTTTACTAAGTTGTAAGACCAAACAAAACAAAAACAAAATAGATTTTTCTATTTTTAGAGATTTCAAAGAGTATTTAAAAGGTGTGCTATGAGTCAAGATCCTAGCTCTGTGACTTCTTACCTCTAGGTCCTTGGCAAGTTATTTTAGCCTCTTTGCACCTCTGTGTCTTCATCTGTAAAATTAAGATATTAGTATCTAATTCATAGAATTTTGGGTGTTAAACTGAGTTAATCACTGTAAATATTTAGTCCACATGGGTAGAAATGAAAAGAATCATTGATGTGGTAGAGAGCAGTGAAGAGGGTGGCTTGGGAGCAGCTGGGCAGGAGCAGGGGCCAGGCCAGAGGTGTTCTGGAGACTATGAAAGGAGCATATCCTTACACTAAAGACACTGAACAGCCATTGCATTATTTTAGCCAAGGACTGATATAATTAAATCTGTAATACAGAAATAATGTTGAAGCTAATCAAAGAGGTTATGATAAAGATTTTTTACTTTCTCACCCTGGAGCAGACTAGGGCAACTATTTAGCCTTTTGTTACTTTCAAGTGGGATCTTGGTCAGGTTCTGGTAGAGCTGCTCTTTTCCATAACTCCTAAAATACAAAGACTTATCCTTACATAGAATAATAAAAAGAGAGGCTAGGTGCGGTGGCTCACACCTGTAATCCCAGCACTTTGGGAGGCCGAGGACGGCGAATCACGAGGTCAGAAGTTCGAGACCAACCTGGCCAACGTGGTAAAATCCTGTCTGTACTAAAAATACAAAAATTAGCCAGGTGTGGTGGCAGGCACCTGTAATCCCAGCTGCTCGGGAGGCTGAGGCAGGAGAATTGATTAAACCCTGGAGGCAGAAGCTGCAATGAGCCAAGATCACGCCACTGCACTCCAGCCTGAACGACAGTGAGACTCCGTCTCAAAAAAAGAAATAAATAAATAATAAATATTAAAAAAATAAAAAATAAAAAGAGCATCTTCGAGAGAATGGATAATAACAGACTTATCTAAAAAGTCAAGTTAGAGAGAAGATCAACAGGAAAAGCAGTGCTATCTCAAGCCATCACACCTAGAAACAATACCCAAATATAGTCTATGTGCTATTCTTACATAAAAATGTTGCCACATAGTACATTGCTTTTGATATGTTGAGGAAGAGAGAGGCAACAAAATTAGAAAATGGAAAAATATATTGCAAATATATATGTGTGTGTGAAATAAATGTTTTAGGATGTCTTAGTATCCTGAATCTATTATTTCCATACCCTTGGATTAAAAATACATAATCAATGAAAGTTTGAGGGAAATATAATTTTTTCATATTTTAAATAGATTGAAAATATGTGGATACACACAGAGACAGACAAACAGAAAAGGGCAGAATAAAGATATTAGAAATGAATTGCGTTGGAATAATTTTGCTCTAAAAAATAACTATTTGGGTTTTCTCTGGAATTTAAAGGCAATTCACAGGAAGAAAGGGTTTCTGGGCAGCCAGAAATCAGCCAAATTCATAAAGAGCCAAGTACAGTTCCAATATATCATCTGCAGCATGCTAGTGCTGAGCCCTACCTTAGCCAAGAGAGTTGTGTACAAAATGCGCTCAGAGATCCTGATTCTTTTCCAACATTTGCACTCTGCTTTGGCTGATGTTCATTTAGGTTAAATTGTCACTTTTTTTTTTCAAAACAAGAAAACATACTTCATCAATTTAAAAATGTTCTGGAGACATTTAATGAATGCAAATGTTTCTAAAGTCTAAATTACAAAGTTGGTTAAGAATATAGGTAAGTATATTTTGAAATATCCTGTTACCTAATTTTCTGAGTTAGCCATGAAAGATTCTCTCCTTCCTTCCTTCCTTCCTTCCTTCCTTCCTTCCTTCCTTCCTTCCTTCCTTCCTTCTTTCCTTCCTTCCTTCCTTCCTTCATTTCTTCCTTCTTTTTCTATTTCCCACACCACCTGCCTTTCTCTTTCTTCTTTCTTTCAACTGAACTAACTGGATAGTTGGTGGTTGCTTTCTATCCAGTGAATATAGTGCAGCAGACCATGAGCTCCAATAAATAAATAAAGTTACTTTGTCACAGAGAACTTTGTTGGCTTACTTTTTTATAATTTGTGTAAATTTAAGAGGTACAAGTGCTGTCTTGTTACATGGATATATTGTGTAGTGGTGAAATCTGGGCTTTTAGCTTAGCCATACGTATATGTATCCATTAAGTGTTTCTAGTCACTACATTGCTCAGATTTGTGACATTAATTTAGAGAGGACAGAAAGCTAACCTTAGACCACTGCGTTTGTTTAATATTACAGTCTAGGCCTTTGGTCTCCACTAATTACTATACTGAGGAAACTAATCACATGAGCCAACTGTAGAAACATCTTAGAAATTAGAAATTTTACTAACTGAAATACCTAGTATTTCTGTAGAAGGCATATCATACTTGTACGGCATGTCATAGGTCATAGAGATTAGAGCTTTATATTGTTTTATTTAATTCATTCCTTCAACATTAATTCATTCACAAAACTATTGTGTGCTAGCTATACACAAAATCAAAGATGTCCCTGACCTTGAATAATTTGTGATCTAGTCATTTACTCCGTACAAAAATGGTCAAAGATGGCTCTTATCATCTCTACCTGATGCTTAAATGCTTAAATCAATAGTGTGGGAGCACTGGATAAGAGCCTTCTGAATCTAAATTCAGGGTATTTCCATGATTCCATGTTTCAGACATAGTCTCTGCAAGGAAACATTAGCCTCTACTTGTCAACCCTTCTCTCTTAGTTCGTTTGTGCTGCTATAACAGAAGATCACAGACTAGGGATTTATAATGAACAGAAATTTATTGGACTCACAGTTCTGAAGGCTGAGAAGTCCCAGATCAAATTTCTGGCAGGCTTGGTGTCTAACATAGGCCCAGTCTCCACTCCCAAGATGGCACATTTAAATGCTGTATTTCCCAGAAAAGAGGAACAAGGTTCCTCACATGGCAGAAGATCAGAAGAGCCAAGAGAGAGTGCTCACTCCGGAAAACTATTTTTTAAGGTATTAATCGCATCCATGAGGGTGGAGCCTTCATGACTTAATCACCTCTTAAAGGCCCCACCTCTCAATACTATTACATTGGCAATTAAATTTCAATATGACTTTTGGAGGGGACACATATTCAAGCCATAGCAGTGTTTTAATAACTACCTTGATGTATTGACAGTCGCATGTTCTCTAGAGTCAGGTAGATCTGAGGTAGGATCCCAGCTCTGTCTTCTAATACTTATATGAATATGGAAAAATTACTTACTTTCTCTGTTATCCCTATTTGCAATAGAAACTGCTCATGCCCACCTTACAAGATTGTAGATATCAGTAAATGAGAAGATACAGATGAGACTAGTATGAAGTAATGGAAACACTCAAAACAGGGTGCAAAATGTAAGGAGATGGTACCAGTAATGTAAATAATATTTTAATGTAATATTTAAACATCATATTATTAAATTATGATGCATAGGTTAGCCATCTGGTTTTGTGGAAAAACAAGTTTTATCAAAAACATCGTCGGGGCAAGGGTAAGGCAAATGAGCCAGAGTCATTCCTGCAAGTGAAGGGTTAAATACTATCTTCATTTAAAATTTTGATGTTTTGTTCATCATGTAGTAGGCAGAATTTCTAAAGCAGCCCCCCAAAGATGTCCTTGCTTACTCCCCAGAACTTGTGAATATTCTGATATGTAATTCTCATTATTATTTCATGTTATATGGCAAAGTTGGTAATCATATGAGCTTTTAAAATCAGAGAGCTTTCTCTGGCTGATGACAGAAGAGTAAAGCAGGAGTCAAGAAGATTCAAAGTGTGGGAAGAATTTAATGTGCTGTGGCTGCCTTTGAAGAAGGAGGAAGCCATAGGCAAGGAGTGCAGAGCAGCCACATAGGATGAGAGTGATCAGTAGGCAAGGAAATAGGTACTTCTGTCCTACAACCACAGATTATATTGTGAACAGGAATGAGTTTGGAAGGCAACTGTAAGCTACGACTTAATTTCACCTTATAAGATCCTGAGCAGACCCAGCCATATCATCATGGACGTCTGACCTACACAAACTTTGAGATAATAGATGAGTGTTGCTTTAAGCCACTAAATCTGTAGCAATTTTTATGCTACAATGAAACAAATAAATCATAAATGTTTTGTATTATTATTATTATTTTTTTTTTGAGACAGGGTCTCGCTCTGTCACCCAGGCTGGAGTGCAGTGGTATGATCTCAACTCACAGCAACCTCCGCTTCCTGGGTTCAGACGATTCTCCTGCCTCAGCCTCCCAGACTACAGGCACCCGCCACCACACTCGGCTAATTTTCTGTGTTTTTAGTAGAGATGGGGTTTCACCCTCTTAGTTAGGATGATCTCAATCTCCTGACCCCGTGATCCGCCCGCTTCGGCCTCCCAAAGTGCTGGGATTACAGGCGTGAACCACCGCGCCTTGGCCCTAATTTCCATTTTTAATGCTATCTTCATTTAAAATTTTGATGTTTTGTTCATCATTGTAGTAGGCCGAATTTCTAAAGCAGCCCCCAAAGATGTCCTTGCTTACTCCCAAGAACCTGTGAATATTCTGAGATGTCATTCTCATGATTATGTTATGTTATATGGCACAGTTGATAATAACATGAGCTTTTAAAAGCAGAGTTTATTGCAAATATATTACATGAAAATATTATTTATCCTGAATACTCAATTTTTGGCACTCCTTACATATTTTACCAGAGTTGAGTGCCTCATTTACCTCCTTCTATTCCCCTTAATATTTGGCATTATGTAGCTACCAAGTGCATGTTCTTATTATTACGCTTGTTATTCACAGTGTCCTGTAATTCTTGTCTTATTGATAGAGAATCATCTTTATCTTCCCCATTTTTTCAAAGTTTCTCTTCTCCGTCTGCTTCTTCCTACCAGTGGCCATGGTCCATGCCTCCTTTACTACATCAGATCCACCTAGTCCCTGGACTAATCAGGTGATTATATATTGGAACAGTGTTGTAAGGTTATCACTGGATATCTTGCCAAGTAATTGTCTCCTTAAAAGGCCCCTGACTTCCAAATAATTCAAAAGTAGTTTTCTCCTGTTTATTTGAGAATTTCTTTTCATCATTTGGTATGGCACATTGAATTCATATTACTAATACAATTTACTCCTACAGATTTCAACTTTTTCTAACTATCTTTTAAAATACTTTTGCTAGATGTAGGGGATTTAGGATATATGAGTTTGAGAAACATGAGTTTGGAAAGAGGTAGGTAAGAACAAAAAAGAAATGGCTAATGAATTTGCCCTCTGGTCTAGAAAGTTCCTATCTGAATTGTTACAGTAACACTTATTCTGGAGTTCCTATTTTATTACAAAAAAAGACAAGGAAAGTAGCTGTAAGAATCATCCATAACCACCCGTATTAATGACTATTTTCACTAGATTGAATCATAGATATTTTATATCTATAGAAAGTGGTCATTTTTACTGTGCATGTTGATTCATAGTTGCATAACTAATCATGACAACTTTATTAATTGCTTATTATCAAGGGTTTTCTCTTTTATTAGAGAACAAGTGACTTCCTTCCCTTGCACTGGTGTGCATATATATCTCTGTGTGATAGAGATTAATGCATAAAGCTTTGCAGGAAACTGCCTCATTGATTTTGTTGCCTTTATATTTGTCTTCCTTAGATGACTTCCACTAACATAGATAAAGGATGTATAGCCCGTTTCAGTGGGACACCCAGGGCCCCGCCTATGGAAGTTGGAGTTCTGGCTTGAGTTCAGGCAGCTGAGTGAAAAAGAGTTTAAAGAGATATTTTTGGAGAAATGAATGCATTATATTGTTGGTTCTTGTTAAGGTCTCCAAAACACTGCTTCTTTGATGTGGGCACTTTTACATAGTAGTAGTCCTTGCTTGTGTTTGCATACTGATTAGAAAGTGCACTAACAACACTGATGTAAAGATGTGCCCCAGAATATTATTTAATTTTCTAATGAGTTGTATAGAAGTTCTATCTCTCAAATCTATGTGTTTGAATATTCTATGCCATATTTTCTAATTCTTCAAATTTCATATTAACCAATCCACAGCCTTAATGTATAATTTAGAAATGTTTTTAAACTCCTGTTGTTTTCCCCCATTATTAAGACTTGAATTGATTTATAAGATTTGTATGCAGTAGTAAATTCTACTCTTAAACATAACTTAATCTAGCGGCATCAGAGCTAATGATGAATAAATGTAACCTACCTTAATAACGGTACTTCCTTTTAAAGAAACTCTCAAGAAGTCTTTTTTGAAGAAAAGTATCAAATCGGTACCTTAGAGTCTTCTGTGCTATGATAGTGCATTGAATACAAGAAAGCTGATGGGGTAGTTTTAAAAAATGTCCTGACAGAGTCAAGGTGATGGCCATTTTTAGCTGCCCTGCTATCCATCACCTCTTTCAGCCAAGCATACTCCATCATATGCAACAGCCTCATGAATTTATGCATCAAGCTGTGCAGCCAGTCGTGCCGAGGGCGCTGGTGACAAGTGAAATTGCTGTGCGCCTCATTTAGCTGTTTATTGCGCCTGAGTACGTGTTGCAGCTGTCATCCCACGATGGGATGATAGTGCTCGTTAATAGACAAGACAGGCAAATAATGATGGAGGCCACAGCAAGAGATGCTCATCTGCCAATGGGCTCTGAGCAATATCACAAACATCCACAAAGTTCTCCATCAAAAGCAGCCCTGTAAGAAAATACAGAAGGCAGGGCTGTTCTTCATGGGACTAACAATGGAGATTAAACTGTTGCAAAAAGTGTAGCCCAGTAGATCTTGTAACTTAGGACTGGCATTTGAGCTTCTACACTATGCTTCCCTTTTAAAAGAAATACAGGAAAATGACCAGACGCAATCTCCAGGTTTGCTTCTGATGTGTAAGTTGACCATATTCCTACCACACACCATGGAATTAACCTTAACCCAGCTGAACAGTTGGCCTTATTCTGCTGGCAACCACAGTACCAGAAATTTGCAAAAGTTATTTTTCAACTGTTTGAAGACTTCTTCTATACATTTAGGATTTTGGATGGCTATGTTTCAATTCTTTTCAGTATTTTAGTGAAAAGTAACTTGAAATAGAAATATTCTATCTTTAGATTTGAATGGAATTTTCTTTTGTATAAAATTGAATTATATTCAGGCATTCATATCTTGGCACATAGCAAAGAAGCTCCTAATAAAATCTCTTGCAGATGAAAGTCTGTTAAACAACTGACTTTCATTTCCCTTTTCTCTGAATATGTGATGCTTAATCTTATGGGTATTTTACAATTGGTGTTTAGTAAGTGCCTAAGGTATAGGCTTAAATGTGAATCTTTATGATTTTACCAACAGGTTATTCATTTTGTAAGAATATAGAACTTAAAGAGTTAATTAGCATGTTTGGTGTAATGAGATGAAGCAAATTCTGACAATCCTTTGCAGACTTTTATATATAACAGTAATATCCAAGAGAATTTGAGTTCTGTGCTTGCTAACTGGATATTATTTTGAGTGTCAAATATAGAAACAAATATCAAGGTCCAAACTGTGAACATGGGATGGAAATAACTATAGGTATTTTAAAATTTAACAGAAGAGCTGGAAAAACCCTTCAGTACAAAAAAATGAAAATGAAATATAGAAATAATCTATTAAACACATATACACTATTAGGAACATGGCCTTCTTGGATTTAATAACATGTGGCTATGACCTTTTAATGATGTCCATTTTGCTATAAGGAAAGACTGACAAAAGTTTAACACAGACATTATTACTCATAAGCACATCAAGAATTATATAAAGTACTAACCATGCCAACATAGAGAGAACACCCTTGTCAGGATCACGAAGCTATCATGATGAAGAAACCTTAACGACCCTCTAGTGTGGCCTCATCATTTTAAGGATGAAGAAACCAAGTCTCCGAGAGGCCAAGTGACCCAGTGAGGTCTGCAATGAGTCACCCGTAGCATCTGCAGGTCTCTGGGGCCTAATGTCCTCCATAGCTGCTGTACCTGTGACATTTCCCACATCCTTGCTGTGACTGACCTTGTGCGCTTATTTTTACTATTTACTAACAAAAATCTTATTTTTATGTATGTGTTGCTTCAAAAGATCATTCTGATTTATTTATTTACATATGCATATTTATTTATATGCTTATTATTTTTAAAGAGGGAAATACAAGACATGTAACAATAGGGGTAAAATAATAAATATTAAATAATGAAAAGAGAAGAGAGAATCAGAACGAAAATACTCAAGCTAAGGATAATTGCTAGATTTGAATATAAAATTTACCACCGATTTAAAAGGATTGATTCATTCTTAAATGTGATTATTGTCTTTGGGCCAAAAATTACTTCAGTGAGAGTGAATCTTCAGTTTTATGATAGAAATAAATTAGAAAATATAAGTTAACTTGCAGAAAAAATAGTTTTATGATGGGCATTTCAAGAATGCACATTTTCTGTAAAGTGAGGCACATCTGTGTTAATTTTTTAAAGGTCTTTTCCTTGTTTAAAACATTCATACCTGTGAATCTTCTGTTTTATTCAAAATGTGTAATGAAAACCATTTAAAACAAGTATCCAGTGAGTATCTTGATCCAGAAATATCTATTTGCCATATAAATCTGATAAACAGTATACAGGACAATGTATATTCTACAACAATTAATTTGGATGCATAGTAGACATCATTACATGGGCAGTACAGAATTATATTTGGATTATATATTATAGTACTGATTTAGCTCAGAGTCTTAATGTAAAATCCCATAGACTAACATGTAATAACTTTATATACTTTATTTTCTTTTCCTGTTTTGTGCTTACTGTGGAATAATACAGTGGGAGCTATGTTATTCTGTTCCTTTGCTTTTTCAAAAATAATGACAACAATCTTTTATTTTTGGCATTTACAGAACTAATGGTCAGCAAATTTGAATATGTTGACTCCTTTTTCTTAATAAAATGGGAAAGAGATGTGTGTTACACACACACACACACAAAGTTTTATTAATGTTTCATAAAATGGTTGCTACAATCAAAGGAACTGCTCTGAAAATTAAATTACTGGGCTGACTCTGAAAATCAGCATAATATGCTCTGTTTAATTCAGTCATGCTAAGATGTTAGATTCCCCTTCATTCTCTCAGCTTTCTCTCTCCTTCACCTGGGGGCATCTGCTGATGAGTCTCTTCTAGAGGTTGTTTAATGACTATTTTACAGGAACTGTCAGCTTTCTAAAGCCCAGTGGCATTGGGCGTCACTGTATTATCAGCCTTTTTACACAATTTGCCTGACTGTAAATCGGAGGTTTAAAAGTACAAGAAAATCTCCTATTTGATTTAATGACTGGTTGATGGGGGTTGATTAATCTTTCTATGCTCGGATGTTTTACTCATAAAGGTCATCTATTGTTTGTTTATACTCACTTTTCTGATTTTAGAAACACAAGAAATAAGAAGACCATTTTGAGAAGAACAGAGAGTAGCCTTAAGAAAATCCCTGTCGCAAGCACTCTGGGATTTGGACTCAAATGCTAATTATACAGTAAGTGAAATGAACACAGCCTTCACATTAACCTAATGTAAAGCTGCAAAACCATGATACCTGCTCAATTTGGTTACAGAAATTGAAGATGGTGGCCCTTCTTTTGAGTGGGGATGGGGGGGATTTATTTCTATTTTTAAAAGCAGGGCTATTGATCATATAAAGAACATTCTTACCTCGCCACCCAGCGCTTTCAAAAAAAAAAAAAAAAAACAAGCAAGAATCTTTTTAGTACTATCATCTTGTTTTACCCAGGACATTGCCTGTATTCATGGTTAGGAGCTTTATTTAATTTAAAAAAATTATAAATTTACCCTTTTAAAAATTTGAATCAATTCATGGTAACCTTAATATGTACAATACACATTCTTGTTTATGGAATATGAGTACTCAGGATGTCCATCAAATTATTTTGGTCAGTTTTAATTTTTGTAGTGTTTAAAGACAAAAGGGTAACTCCTTTGATCGAAAAGTGTATCAATCAATCAAAGCTACTTAATAAATGGTATTAGATCACACAAAAAAGTAGCATACACAAAATAATGCTGAGGAAATATTCAACAAGTTTGTTAACACTATCCTTTCAAAAGTTAACACAACAGAGTACAGTTATTCTTCAACTAATCAAAATATTATCTAACCATGGGCTCCCCTAAACAAGTGGAAAGGAACAATCATTCTGACAGTTTTTCCTGAATGAAGGAGGTCTTTCTTATTACAAGTGGATACAAGACAATACAACCCAGTAGAAGCTGGGGCATACATACTGAGAAAAGGTGGTTGTAAATTCCCCCTTTCCTTTCAAGAGTGAGAATAATATAAACACTGAAGAAAAATATGGTCCCGTAGCTTTTCATTGGAAAATCTGTTGAGACATGCAGAGCTGAGGCATCTGGATATCTACCCTGCAAAATCCCTAGAGGTAAGAATTTTGCTATTACCAAGCAATTCAAGGTGTCAAAAAGCCACCCAACTAAACTTAAGACTGCTTTGTTTGAATCTCAAGTCCACATTCTACCACCAAATGACCATAAAGAAACCATACATGTAAATAAAACAGTGAGTAGAATTCTGGTAAATTTTTCTTAAAGTATGGTTTTAAATGCATTTCTAAGGACAAATATAGAAGGAATAAGGTATAGCACAGTATAGCTGCTCTGAAGATGTAGCTCAGGTATCATCTCTTCCTGGAAAACTCCAGGACTTATTTTACTGTGCAGCCCCCCTTCCTTGGGCTTTTACTGCATTAAATTGCATTCATTTTTTAAAACTTGGTCATCTTTCTCTAGAAAATTGTCTTTATGAGAGCAGGGCCTATTTTATATTTACCTTGACATATCCCAAACATTCCAGGACCTAGGTTAGTGCCACACATTTGGTAAACATTCAATAAATATTATTTGAATTAAATAATCAAGTTCTGCTAAAAGTTTTTCACATTTAGCAGAAGCCAGTTTTAAATATTACATTCCCTGTTAGGATTCCGACTGCTTCGTATTGCTAAGCTTGAAGGGGCAATGAGATTGAACATGGAAATGGAGGCTGTAGTCTCAGCTCTGTGACTACCAAGCAAGGCACTTAAACTTTTGATTCTTTAGTTTCTTATCAGTGAAATTCAGGATTGGATTTAGCGCTGAGATTCTTGACAGCTATGATAATCTGATTCTTAGATCCCTGCTATTCTCATTTGTAGTCAGCCCTTTTCTGTCAGCCTAGCTGCAACTCTAAATTATCACTAATATCTAACATTTACTAAGCATTTATTTGCAGCATTCATACTGCCTCCTATAATACTCACAACAATCCCATGAATAAAGTTTTTACAATGCTAACGCTGGGGCTCAGAAAGATGCAATATTCATCCAAGAGATTACATTAGCCGTAGGTGGCATACATAAGATTCAAGCCTTGATCTTCCAGTGACAATTTCCCCCACTTTTTCCGTTGTGCTGCCCAATATTAACTGTGGCTCATTCATTTCTGGACTTCTAAAAGTATAATATTGTAATTTTTAAAATCGAATTCCTCAAGGAAACAACAGGACCCTCTGAGAGGAGACTTTCTGATTGTAAGTCAATGACTCTGAGTTGTTTTATCATCAGACCTGATGGGGTTCTTCTGATTCCCCCATATCTTTTCTCATCCTCTGGTGCCCAGTGCCATGCATTTTCAACTGCAGTTTCTGGACAGATGGCCAATGGACCCTTCGGCCATAAAATAGAGCTTGGCAAGCTACTCACACAAGAACTGAACTTGTGACCTTGGTGTTATTTTCACTGTACCCCAAACAAGTGATTTAAATAGCCAAAGACAGGTCTGATAAGCACTACATGAAATAAAACACAACCCCAAGATGTGTAAATATTTATCATTCAGGCCATTTATATTTTAATTAATTTCATTTGTTTATTTCAGACTTGTACTTTGTAAAACAATGCACTAGAAACTGCAGAATAAATGCATAGTCTGGATGGACCTCTAGAGCTTAGAGGATATGGGGAGAGGGGAAACACAGATCCTTACCACAGGTCCTAAGACAAGCCAAGTACCAAGAAGTGCAGTCAGAAGAACCTCATTCAGATGTGAGGTATCAGAAAGAGCTTTGTGAGGTGACCCTGATAACCTCTCACTCCTCCCCAGTTCCTCTCCATATCTCTATTTTTATGATCAGGAATAGTTCCCAAGTTACCACTTCAAAAAGGCTGTTTAACAGCCCATTGGCACTCACACCAAATTCTTAATTGGATCTCAGTCCTTGCAATGGTCCTGGCTTGAACTTACTCCACTCCGTATTGTGAACTTATTTTTATCTACAGATCCAGGTGATTTCCAGTGTGATGCCTATTTTTATGTGTCAACTTAACTAGGCTAAGAGATGCCTAGATAGCTGGTAAAACATTATTTCTGGTGTCTGTGAGAGTGTTTCTGGAAGAGGTCAGCATTTGAGTAGGTAAACTGAGTAAAGAAGATCCATGTCACCACTATGGGTGGGGATCATCCAATCTGCTGAGTGACCAAACAAAACAAAAAGAAGAGAAAAGGTGAACTTGGGCTCTCTGTGTTTGAGCTCGGATATCGATCTTCTCCTGCCCATGGTTATTGGCTCTCCTGATTCTGGGGCATTCAGACTTAGACCAGTACTTATTCCAACAACTGTTTGGTTCTCAGTCCTTTGGACTTGGACTGAATTACACCACTGATTTTCCTGGTTCTCCAGTTTACAGACAGTAGAGAGTGAGACTGCTCAGCATCCATAGTCAAGCCAATTCCTAATATATTCTATTGGTTCTATTTCTCTGAAAAACCCTGACTAACACACCCAGTTTACTCTTTCATTTAATTTCCCATTTACTGGTTTCTTACTTCTCTGAGTACCAACTGGACGTTTTCTTCTTTGATTTCGCTTTCACCCCCTCATCTTTTAGTTGTACTTCCCGTGCACTGTATTTATGATCCTACTGCTGTTACTATCTGTGTTACTTAAAGCCTTTGCTCCACATAGTTCTCTCCAACTTCCAGAGGAGCCCAGAGATTTCACTCTTAATCCTTTAGAATATTATAGCACTAACTGCCTTAGAACAGAAGCTCCAGAATATAGAGTGTTTTGAAGAGCCAAATTTAAGATTTTATTTTAAAGGGAGTAAGGAAGCTCAGCTTAGGATTCAACCCAAGGTCAGCTTGACTAGTAAGTTGAGACTATCAGGTGGATTTTGACTTTCATCTAATGGGCAAGAAACTGAGGCAACAGAGTGTCATGGAATGGTTTTCTCTCCTCATGAATCGTCAACCTCCCTTCTCTATTGGCTTTTCCTGAAGGTCTCCTTTAACTCTGAGATTCTGTAATACTCGATGTCAGTCACACTGGGTGTATGGGACAATATAATGATGTGTTTTATGCTTTTGTTGTCTACAAATGTGGTGGTTTCTTTTTAGGAATTTACTTCATAAAATTGTTTTTTAAACCACCAAAGGAAATATTTTTAAGTGTAGAGGGATTTAGAAAATAAGACAATTCAATATTGTTCAGTAAATAGTAATTAACAGACTAGCTTCTCAATCAATGCCAGCTCTTAAATTAGTATCTCCAGCAAGCTACAAGTAATATTTAAAATTAAGTTTAACTTAATATTACCATGTGTGTCCAAATTCTCAAGGATATTCTCAACCTCTTATTATAAACTGCTTTCAAAATTCTATCTTAATATATCTTATATTTTGGGATTTAATTTAGGCAGGTCATGCCACTGCATATATTTAAATGTTTCTCATCTAAGGTTTCCATGAAGTAATGCTGACTTAAAAAGTCTATAATGGTAAAATAAGTGACATTTCTACCAATAACTGCATATCAATCACAACATAACTGAACCCTGATTTGCTAGAAGATTGTTCTCTATTGCTTTGGCAATAGAATATGGGGACCTACTGAAGTTCATGTCAACAATTCCCCCATAAAGTTACAATAAGCTTAACAGATTGTTTCTCCAGGTCTATAATGATGACTGGAATAGGAAATTCGGACAGCAAAAGTGGTCGCTTCTTAGGCTTCCTGCCAGATTTTGAAAACCACTATAACTAGTCGTTTCTGCCAAGTAAGTGAAATCTGAATGCTGGCTAAAACATTTGGAAAAAAAAAAAAAGAAGAAGAAGAAAGAAACCCATGCTGACTAATAGGCGCTAATGTGTGAGTAATAATTAGTGCAATTAAGTGACTGGCGCTGTGTGGGTGAGATTTTCAGAATACAAAACATTAATGTAGGGGCTTGCATACACATAAACAAAGCTTTATAATGGGCTAATATAAGCGGTGATATATGGAAAAGTTTAATGGTCAGAATAAAATTTGTGGAAGTCTCATTGCAGGTATGTTAGTGTTAGGTATAGAAATTCAATGAATATAAATCATTATTACAATCTTATGTAATATTCAAACGTGTGACTGTGTGTATGAGTGTGTGTATGTTTCATATATCCTTGGATATATGGAAAACAGGTTTTGAAGCCTGATAGAGGGCTTAGTAAAACTAAACTGAAGCATATGAAGTTAGAAAATGTTCATGTCTACGAAACCACACTACCTAGCTGTCTACTCAGGTTCCTATTTGTCCCTCTCTACCACCTATTCAACCCCCTATCTCCTTGCCATATATCCACCTCCATTCTTCTATTCTTTAAATCTGTCCAAATAAATGTCTGTCATCCTGCTCTCTCTCTCTCTGTCTGTTTCTCTCTCTCTCCCCCTCTGTCCATCTGTCTCTCTCCTCCACCCATCATTTATCTAAATATATAGGACTAGTTTTCTTGGTAAGTAGTACAGAATTATAACTGAGAACAACCATGGACTTAGTTCATCTAACATGGGGAATAAATTATTATTCTCTCTTAGAAATACTGCTATGTCAAGGTCAGGATTGAGGTCATTTGCAAGGCAATGCAGAGGACAGCATATAATTTACTAGCCAGAATCACTCACAGCTGATGGGGGGTGGGAATAATATTTCCATCAGAAATCCATACTCATTTAGCTTTCATAAACAAATGCTTGTAAAAGTATAAAAAATACTGGGTTGTGAGCTTAATTAAGAAGCATCAAATTATCCACTTCTTTTGTTCACCTTTGGAAAATATATTTAGTAGCTGATGATTAGCGACCTGTGTGTTTATTCAACAGGAATAAGGAACTCTAAATCAACATGTTCTAATGTGCTGTCCTTTGCAAATGAAGACAACATTATTGATTCACAATCAATGGCCATGCATTTATTTCTTCTTTCTTCTGAAGGGTTAAAGTATTGATGGCAAGTGGACTATCATCTGCAGTTTCTTATGTTGTCTAATTTGTGACCTATGGCTTTAATCTAATAAATAGCTGTCCAACATAAAACAAGTAGCTCTTGATTGTGAAACAGAGTAAACACAGTATAAAATTTTTTTTGCTCTCTTTACCAAGTGTCCTGGAGAGTTTTAAAATAGTTCAAATACTCACAATTTCAGTATTTTAAAACATTTATATTTGGTGATGCCATTCACCACTACCCCTTGCTATATATTCTCCATATATGCTCTGGACAATGAAGAAATGAACCTCAGAAATACAGAGGGAGTAAAATAAGACCAACAGGAAAGAATCTAGAAAATATTAAAATAAAATACCCTACAAGTAGGATTCATCTGGGCCTGCATACATAAGTAAAATTATGGTCT
The DNA here is from genome assembly GCF_000001405.40 of Homo sapiens. Lineage (NCBI taxonomy): Eukaryota > Metazoa > Chordata > Mammalia > Primates > Hominidae > Homo > Homo sapiens. The sequence continues at coordinate 98,281,472 of NC_000006.12, forward strand.
GAACTCTGAGCACAACTTGATATTTCAGCCCATCCTCATCATTTCATTCTAATTTTAAAACAACACGATCCCCTTCTCCAATTTGATGGATCCTCCTGCTCTGTTCTCTATCCTGTATCATTTCATCTCTTCCTTGACATAGACATTCTTTCAGTAAACACTACTCTTGGCAAAAGGGATTTAATGACAAATTAAATGAGCCCCCAAATTCCCTAGTATGAAATATTGACAAAATAGATAATTATCTATTAGATATAATCATATATTTATTTAAAAATCCTGCAATTATACATAGAAGGGACTGTGAATCCATACTGTAGGTAGAAGGCAAGAAGGATTTAAGAAGATGAAAAAAATGCTTCCGAGGGGATCTGTTTATGTTTATGCCTGAATTTCAAAGCTCTTCTTCTATACTGACTTTTTTCTGTTAACATGCTCAAGTCTTTCCTATGCTGAAAGAAAGAAAATCTTCTCATCAATCCTGTATTTCTCTTTGACAAATATCCTAGCTCCTCTTCCTCCCTCACTCAGCCAACTCTCTTCTCTGCATGGTTTACACTGTGTCTGTGTTCTCAACTCACTACCACCTAGCTTTCAATTTCCCTACATTGCCCAAATTTTTCTCACTTTGTCACTTTTGATCTCTTTTCTTTTTGAACCCTCTATTCCCAGGAATTCCATGGTATGTATCATTCCAGGTTCTTCTCTTATCTCAATTCCAAATCCTTTCCTCTGCATTCATTTTAAAAACCGATATTCTTGAGTTATCTGGTATAGCATTTCTTCTTAGTCTACATATTGTCCATAGTGATCAATCTCTCTCTCTCTGTGTGTGTGTGTGTGTGTGTGTGTGATCCATTCTCTTGGTTTTAACTATATACTTACCTACATACTTACATCTTCCAAACACAAGCCTCTACCCCTTTGGTTCTCCTCTGAGTTTCAGAATCAAATACCTAAATGTTGAGAACTCTCTGCTTGGAAGTGCCAGAGACATTACCACATTTCCAGTATGGTCCAAAATTTATCTCATCACCTCTTCCTTGACTTACAGTGGGGTTACATCTTTATAAACCCATCATAAGTTGAAAATATATTAAGTAAAAAATAAATTTAATATACCTAACCTACCAAATGTCATAGCTTAACCTAGCCTACCTTACATATGCTCAGTGCACTTACAGTTGGGCAAAATAACACAAAACCTATTTTATAATAAAGTTTTGACTATCTCATGTAATTTATGAAATACTGTACTGAAAGTGAAAAACAGAAAGATTGTATGGGTACTGGAAGTACAGTTTCTACTTAATGTATATCATTTTCATACCATCGTAAAGTTTAAACATTATAAGTTGAACCATGACAAGTTGAGGACAGTCTATATATACAAGTATATAAATATGTATAAGTTCATATGATTAATGTCAGCGGTATAAAAATAAGTTTACTGTACATTTAAGTTGCTTTTATCTATGCCTTAAATTGGTATTCTTTTTCCTAAAGAAGACTCTCAATCTTGCTGGAGTTATCTTTGTTTTACAGATATTTAAACAGAAACACATGCAATTTAAATAACTTTCCCAAGGCCGGTTAAGTGGTAGTAATAATGGTCAGAGATCCTAATCCAATTCTCTTACTTTTAAAATATTAATTGTTTTTACTATGCCACAATAATTCCCTATATAACAACTTACAAAAAGAAAAAAATATATAAAACAGTTTTTTCACTCCAAACCAATAATCAATATCACTTAATGATCAAATGATGTTATAATATAAAAAAAAAGAATTTTGGTGATTTTTAAAACATTATTCTCACTTAAAATGCTCTATGTAAATTGAAATTAGTTGCAGATATTATTAGTACCTACTGATGTAAACCATATGTTTTCTTAATACGTTGCTAATGCAAATTTCAAGGATTATACTATGATATCTTAGTAAATTGTATTAAACACATTAATGGGTATTATATGTTTAAATTTGTTTGTAAATCTTCAAAATTATCAATGTGTGAAGGCAATCTGTTCTTCACACTTTACTCTTGAAAGTTGATATTAGCCTTTTTGAAAGCAGCTAAAAGGACTGAGGTAATAATACATTAGAAAATGAATCCCTAGAATAATAATTAAAATGGCACCCAACTAAAGTATCATGACAAAACATGGCATGACAGGTAGTGAAAATTAAAAACCAAAATTAATCAAAATATGAAATAACCACCAATAATTAAAGTCCCTTGCAAAAATTAAGGATAGTGATTCTTTTAATGATCAAAGAAGCCTTAAAGTTATGAAAATGGTACATTATAATACAACCCACTACTTGATGGGAGCCAATTCACAAATTTTCGTGTTGGAGGAATGCAGAAAATATTTCTTACATCTTGAAAGCTAAATCCAAATAAAAGCAAGCTAATAAGTAAATCTGATGACAGTTTTCTCTTCAGTATTATATAAATTAAAATTTTAAATTGCATTTCTTCTATGGACTAAAGAAAACATTTTTGGAGTAAAAATCAAGAAATAATTTTACCTTAGAGTTAAATAGAAAAACCTTTGAAGTGGGAAGCATAAGGCAGTAAATGGTTCAGTAGTTTGACCTTTACAGTTCTTTTCATCTTTAGAAATATTTCACAAAAATATGTAACAAAAGCAGAATTTGAAAACATGAAGTTGGCCATTTATTTTTAAACACAGTGAATACTGACTGTATATGGAATAGAAATGAGTATGTTTTTGAGCTGGAAGGAGACAATGATAAAAATATCTAATAGCCAAAAGCAGAGGCATAAGAAAATCTGAAATGAAACTGAATGAAGAAAAGAAATTACAGGCTCAGAAGATCATGTGGCCTTTTAAAATAAAATTTATTTAAAACCTATATTTTATTTCAATAAATATTTATTGACAAGAAAGGAAAAATAAATAATTCTAAAGGGATATGTTAAACTTTCTCCTAAGCACAAGTAGATGCATTCCCAAATCTTTAGGTCATTCTAAATATCATAATGAGTCCCTAGATGGTAAAATATGTGAGATTTTATAGGAAGCATGACTTCTTCAAAAGATGGAGAGTATTTAACAGGGGAAAGTAAACCTTAAATAAAAGGCTTAAAATTCTTTGAAGGAGCCATATGTAGTAGCAGAAAAAAAAACTATTGATGAAAGTAGCAATTGTTTACATTATAATAATTACTAATATGCATTTTCATCAACTCTAAGCTCAAAATACAAAAAATTCTGCCTCATTTAAGATTAAGATTCTCTCTAGAACATCTTAATCTCAGTATACACAAGAATCTCAGCCACGTAAGTACTGATCTCAGCTACTCTATCACTGAAGACCGAAAAGAGTGTGTCACATCTTTAGTCAGGTATAAATGTTAAAGAAAAAATTATTTTAGGCAATAGTTGATTTTTTCGGGCTTTAGGAGAAATCACATCAAAGATACTCCACAGAAAACCCTGAAGGCAGAGATAATAGTAAGAAATGAACAAGTGACAGGCACTAGGAAGAATTTATCTTTCTTCACTAGGAAATTCTTATTTTTTTAAATAGAGGATAAAAGGAAGAAAGCATTATTCATTATGGTATAATGCTTGTTGTTACGGTTAGGTTACCATAGACTGTTCCAAACCCGAGAAAGCACAAAAGTTAAGTGATATATGAATTATACAAAATGGAAGTCAGGAATGAAAAATGGCAGGAGGCAAAAGAAACAGGAAGATAATTACGCTGGGACTGAACCCGGTGCCTCCCACAGCCAATTCTCAAAGCATTCTAGTATTTCTTTTTAATTGTTAAGGGCACTTGGGCCTACAGATCTCAAAAAGCTGAATTGGAATGAGCAAGTTAGATTTGGCTACAGATGTCACAAATATGAAAGGTCTAGAAATGATTTAAAGTTCATCAAATCTCCGTTTCTTCCAAGAACTTCACCTACCCATCTTAAGAACTTTGCATTCATTGTCAGAATAATAATTATATGGTCTCCTTTGTTCCTCTTAACTTAGTCAAAGGTCTCAGGGTATTTATTTATCAAGACTTTTCTAATAAATTAATTACCAATTATTTTTAAACCATTATATTATATTCCAGATTTGGTACTAATGGCAATTTCCACTCTCCCATAAATTCAATATCACTACATGTAGTCAAAATTATCATACTCCATTTCTCATACAGACTAAATAACCCCAGTAATTTTGCATTATCTTATTACCATCCATTTTCTAGCACCTTCATTATTTCCATTTTTCTCCTCTATGCCTTTATCAATTGATTAAAATACGGAGTTCAAAAGCAGATAAAATGATAGATTTTGAGGGCTTAGTCCATGTTGGATATAGGAAGTCATTTTGCGGAGTCTTTAATGTTATGTTCTTATTTATACATCTTCAAGACCAATAATCAATTACCTGTGGGCATTACTGACTCCTGGTTAGTTCTTGGGTCTTTTTAAGCCATAGTGTTCTCATAAATCATGACCAATTTTATATTTGTGAAGTCATTGTCAGGTTTCTTGTATTTGAGAATTTAATGTCATTCTCTGCCTACCAACAATTCCAATTATAAATCTGTTCTCTAGCTATGTGCACTGTCATGTTCATACAGATCTGTGCTCCAAGTTATAATAAAACCAAATAAATTTTAAATCCTTGGGACTTTCTTTGAAGGATCTTCTGATTTGGCATTAAGTTATTGGTCATTATTTAATCTCTAGGAACTTATAACATGTTTTCGATATCTGGAAGTAACATGAGCCAAGCAAAAACTTCCTATTGTGTAGATGGTTCTGTCTAGGCCCATCAAATAATAAAGGTACAGGCTTGTCATTTATTGTTTGGTATTACACATCAACATTCTTTATGTGACAGAGTTTGCTTTTACCAAAACATTATAAAATATTAAAAAATAATTTGCCAGTGCATGATTGCCATATTATGGAATATTTGCAAATTCATCTGAATAGCTCTAACTTAATTTTACAATACATATATTATTTAAAATTCCATAAAATTTATAGAGGATAAAGTCTTAATTTTAGTGAATTCTAAATCAAAACTCTATTTATTTCTATTCACCAATGTCTGAGTCCACAAAACATCCTGGAAGCAAGTGAAACAAGATGGCTTTTAGAAACTTTAAGAAAACAACAAAAAAAGAATCTTTAGGCTCTTTTGAGGATGGAAGTGGGGAAGTAGTTAATGGGGATGAAAGAGCTGACTATTCACAGGTGCAATGAAATGCCTCAAAACGCAAAGCAAAATTACATATAGCTGTCTAATACTGACTTACTACTGCATATGCTCTTGAGTTTTCACAGTTTTTCTCATGAGTTGTGACAAGATGACAACAAAACTACTGCCTTAATTACAGGAAGATTGGAAGGTGCGTAACAGCCCCTCAAGATGACTGAAGAAATTTCACATGCGATACAAATCTCAAGACTAGCATTTAAATATGTCTAGATAAAAATTTTAAAGCTACATGGAGACTATAATCTTGATATCTTTATCTGCTCTTTGATATATGCTGCTGTTTATGTTTTGAACCAGAAGCATACTATCCTTTTCTAGTAAAATATAGACACATTTTCTGAAAATTAGTTACAAACCCTGTTGGAAAACTTTGTTTCCTCACAAAATTATTTAACACAAAATCATGGATGATATAACACGATGCAATTCTGACAATGTATTGTTTCATCTAGTGGCTTTAGGTTTTTTATTTGTTAGGTAGATCTCACACATGAGGAAAGTTGTCTCAGAGCCAATTTGCAGAGTCCCACTCCCTCAATATTTGAGGATGCTGTTTCTGATCATGATTGCTCTCCAAATAAGGGTGGAAGAAGAAACCAATGTACAACACTTTGCAGGTATAAAGATGGCTCTTTAATTTCCAGGACTTTTAGACTTGTCAGCTGCCCAGATGTTTTGTTGTAAAATACCAAGTCACTTCTGATTGCTGAATGCTAAACTGCCCAGACAGCTCCATGGTCCCCCACCCATGCCAGGTGGTTGGAAGTTGAGCAGCTTAGAAACCTTAGAGTATTCCTATTTTTTCTTTGCCTGCCTTTGCTTTTCTTCGGTTCACTGTACAGCAGTGGCTTAGAGATCTAGCTGTCATTCATTCTCCACAGATCTTTTACCAAAGGAGGTTCTGCTGTGATGAGCAGCAGCACTTCTGTACTGGTAGATTGGCTGAGTTCCAGCCCTGGTTTTGAATAAGCCTGTCTTACCAGTTGGTGAAAATGTTGCTCATGTCTGGGCCAGTGAATTGAGAAAAAAAATTTCAGGACTAGGTTCTAATGAAGGCACAGTTCTAACTAGAGCTGTTGGACACTACACAGGGACTACCCCTGTCCTCTAAACAAAAAATCATATATTGTTACTGGGAGTTCAAATGCATGCCACAGGAATTAGGATAGTCCTATTACTGTTAGAGGAAAAAAACTGAAATCACAAACAAACTTCAAAAGAAAATGGATCATTAGTGTGTTCTGTGTATTTGAAAGGCGATGGATTTCACCTCTAACTCTTTCACATGTTAAAAGGTAAGCTCAGGCATAATAACATTTTAAAGAGTTTATTTGAGCAAACAGCCATTCATGAGTTGGGCAGCACCGAACTGAAGGTAGTTTTGGGCTCTGCTAAGGAAACTCGAGGGGAAGTTATTTGGAGGGTGAATACAGAAATAAAGCAAAGAAAATAGTTGATTGGTTATACAGTTGTCTTATTTGGTCTATCCTAATGGAAAGTTTCTAGTTATATAAGTTAGTTGGCAGCTTCTGATTGGTTGAGCTTAAGTTTGGGGTGTGTGTGTGTGTGTGTGTGTGTGTGTGTGTGTGTGTGTGTTTAATACAGGCATTTGCAGGAATTAGCCTACATTAACTTTCACTTATGTTTTCTAATTAAGCAAGGGCCAGGTTGCTTCCATGGCTTAACTGACTTCCTCTGCTCAGAGGATTCTTAAGCCTTTTCTTCATTTTATTTTAACAAGTCCCCACTTTTGGTCATCCTCTCAGTTGAACTGTGAGTGTGGTTAACTATTTAGTGTTACTCCTCATTAACACGTGTTGTTTGTCTTTCTATGGGCATCTAAGGATGGCAAAGCAGTTTTAATCCTAGTTTTTTTTTAAATGATGATTTGAGTTTATGTCATCTTTGTTGTTCAGTCTGCATGGAGAGCATCTTGTGAGTCAGTAGCTGATGACGAGTGTTAAAGATTCTTGAGAGAATATGATAGACAAGAGATATTATCATTATGATTAACAAGAGGATAATACCAAAAGTTTGAAAAATACCCCAAAACAGAGATTCCCTGCAGTCAAGATTTAACCAATTAAATAAATCAGTGGAAGAAGTACTACCTATCTGATCAAAACTTTGCATCTGATCTTTAAGATCTTTTAAATTTTGGGTAGCAATTTCTGACTTCTCCTTTGTCTGTTAACTTCTGCTGGGCCCTGTATCTCAGATAAGTTGGAATCCTCAGTATGGATAGGTTGTCTCATTTTCCATTCAGAAGTGTGGTGAATGGTATCTAAAACTGCTAAATATATAGGCCAATTGAACAGAGTGGAAAATCAAGAAATAAATTCATGCATTTACAGTGAACTCATTTTTGACAAAGGAGTAAAGAACATACATTGGGGAAGAAACTATCTTCTCAACAAATGGTGCTGGAAAAACTAGATATTCTTATGCAGAAGAATGAAACTATTCCTCTATCTCTCACCATATATGAAAATCAAATCAAAATGGATTAAAGACTTAAATGTAAAACCTGAAACTATGAAACTAGAAGAAAACACTGGGGAAATTCCCCAGCACATTGGACTGGGCTAAGGTTTCTTGAGTAAGACCTCAAAAGCATAGGCAATCAAAGTGAAAATGGACAAATAAAATCACATCAAGCTAAAAAGCCTCTGCACAGCAAAGGAAGCAATTAATGAAGTTAAGAAACAATCTACAGAATGTGAGAAAATATGTACAAACTATTTAACTAACAAGGGATTCATAACCAGAATATATAAAGAACTCAATAGCAGAAAACAAATAATGTGATTAAAACGTGGTCAGAAGATTTGAATAGACATTTCTCAAAAGAAGACATAGAAGTGGCCAACAGGTATATGAAAAATGCTCAGTGTCACTAATTATCAGAGAAATGCAAATAAAAACCAACCACAATAAAATATTATCACCCAACATAGAATGGCTATTACCAGAAAGACAAAAAATAATGGATGCTGGAGAGGAAACAGAGAAAGAGGAATGCTCATATACTCTTAGTGGGAAAGGTAAAGTACTACAGCCACTATGAAAATCACTATGAAAGTTTCTCAAAAACCTAAAAATAGAACTATCATATGATCCAACAATCCCATTGCTGGGTATCTATTCAAAAGAAAGGAAATCAGTATATCAAAGAGATATCTGCACTCCCATGTTTGTGGTAGCCATTATTCATAGTAGCCAAGATATGGAATCAAACTAAGTGTCCATCAGCAGATCAATAGATAAAGAAAATGTGGTACATATACACAACAGAATGTTATTCAGCAACAAAAAGAATAAAATCCTGTCATTGTCAGCAACGTGGATGGAACTGGAGACCATTATGGCAATTGAAACAAACCAGGCACAAAAGACAAATATTGAATGTTCTCATATGTGGGAGCTAAAAAATATTGATCTCATGGAGGTGGAGAGTCAAATGATGGTTACCAGAGGCTAGAAAGGATAGTGGGAAATGAGGGATTAAGGTTAAATAATGGATACAAAAGTACAGTTAGATAGTAGGAATAAGATCTAGTGTTCAGTAGCAAAGTAGGGCAACTATAGTTAACAATAATTTATTGTATATTTCAAATGTCTAGAAGGGTGGTTTTATAATGTTCCCAACCCCCAAAATGATAAACGCTTAAGGTGACAAATATACCAAATACCAAGTCAGGGTGACTTGATCATTACATATTGTATGCATGTATTAAAATATCACATGTGGCCAGGTGCAGTAGCCCACGCCTGTAATCCCAGCACTTTGGGAGGCTGAGGTGGGTGGATCACCTGAGGTCAGAAGTTTGAGACCAGCCTGGCCAATATGGTAAAACCCTGTCTCTACTAAAAAAAAAATACAAAAGTTAGCTGGGCATGGTGGCAGTCACCTGTAATCCCAGCTACTCGGGAGGCTGAGGCTGGAGAATCTCTTGAATCTGGGAGGCAGAGGTTGCAGTGAGCTGAGATTGTGCCATTGCACTGCAGCCTGGGTGACGAGCAAAACTCTGTCTCAAAAAAAAAAAAAAAAAAAAAAAACACACGTACCCCATAAATACGTAAATTATTATATAACCAGAAAAATTAAAAATTAAAAATAAATAAAAATACTAAATACAGTAATAATAGCTAAAATTTACTGAGTATTTATCATAAGGTAGGCACCCTGTTGGCTTTTTATTTGCGTAAGCCATGTCTAATTCTCACAATGTTGTACCCATTTCACGCATAAAACTAAATGATTGGTCCACAGTCACATTGTTAATAATTAGCTAAGCTAAAATTAAAGCCCAGATCGCCTACATTTCAATGTCTACATTCTTTCAGTACCCTAGACAACCATTACCAATGTAGTACTGCCTTTGCCCACGGGCTTTATGAAGCATAGGCCCTGTAGTGTTCCAGCAAGTGTTTCTGGGTGTCTGTCCTGGAAACTCTGCTCACCTTTGGTCACAAGATCATGCTTCGTTACTTTTTTTTTTTTTTTAAATCATCTGTGATTCTTTCCCAGGAGTGGTCTTCTTGCTTTCAAATTTCTGAAAGGCTACTTCACAATTGACAGTTTCTTAAGGGCAGGGCCTAGGTCTTTGTTCTCTATATTACTAGTATCAAGGAGAGTATCTAGCATATCCCAGGTATTCATCAGACACTTTTTGAATTTATGACTGAATTGACTGAATTGAATTAAATTGAGACATGACTCATGGACACACAAGGTAACAGGATAAAGTGATTCAAAAAATACTGATGCTAGTGTCATGAAGATCTGTCTTCAATGCCAGCTTAATTACTACCTTGATCAAGTTCCTTTACCTTTCTGATTTTCGGTTATCACATTTATAATAAAAGGACTACAGTTCTTTCATAGGATGGTTGTGGAGATCAAATGAAAAGCAAGGAAAAAAATCCAGCATACTACCTGGCATTTTTATAGGTCCTCTGTAATGGCTCCTCTCCCAAGTAAACTATGTGCTACTCTCATGGATTACACTGTTAAAATCGTAGTGCTTTTTAGAGAATCAGTAAAGTCCAAAGTGTGGAAAAGACGAGAGCTGTATAAAGTAAGAATGGCCTGAGAGAACTGACCAAGAGCAGGCTCATTTTCTTTTCTGCTCGTTGGTTCCTTTTCTTTCATCACCGATCTTGATCCATCCCCTCCTCCCTTTTCCCAGTCCTTCCACCCAATCGCCTTTCTGGGGCATACAACCTCCTCCTTCTTGCTAATGCCAAAAAAATAAGTTTTGATATTTTCACCTCTTACAGTCCATCTTAAATTGGTCTGCTCTTTCTTCTCTGTCCCATCTGGCTTGACTTTATTTCAGGCCCCATCGTCTCTCTTCTGGTCAACTGTAACGGCCTCCTGGTTCCTGCTTCTTTCTGGGCTTTCAAAACAAATCAAAACGAACAAAAACCAACCAACTTTCTCTCTTCAAAATGTTGTGATTATAGAGCATCTAAATCTACTGGATTTAAATCTACTTGTATAGTACTGATTTCTAAAACTATCCCCATATATCAGAAGAATATTCTGGGAGGAAAAGTTTTTATTTTTCAATTTTATTTTTGTCATAGAAAAAAAAATCTTTTTGGGCCATGTGCCCTAATGTTAAATTCAGAACCCATGGTCACCATATCTGTGAGCTACCTTGTGCCCAAGAAAAAGGAAAGAAAGTCTCTTGCTCTTTCCTTTTCCTGTGCAAAATGAATTATCCCCATCCCAGTTCTCAGACTTCAGAGATCTCCATTCCAAGTCCCCAGCAGTCCACACTAGTACAGCTGAAGAATATATATCTTTTTTTTAACAGACGTTGGTGGACCAGCCTTAAAACCAACAATGATTTGTAACATTGATTCTTTGGGAAAGGGCATTCGGGATCCCACATCACCATCTAACAAATGAATTTTTGTAAGAAAACCCATTGGTAAGTTGGAGGCTATATTTACTGGGAATGCTAGAAGGGATAGAATTGTGTACTATCTGTTTAAATGATGAGTAGAATGGGAGTTATTCATATAAAGCAGCACTTTGGAATCACTTTCCTTGACTCTGTTTCAGCTGTCCGCCTAATAAGAAAATTCTGGAAATCTCTTTTTTTTTTGACACTTACTTTTTTTTTCCTTCACCAACACTCAGTAAGACTTCATTCTAGACCTGAGAATATGATTTGCTTCTCAGTAGGCTCTGGTGGTAACAAAACTTTACTCATTTCTCTGCTTTATTTGTTTAAGACACAGAGCAAACATGCAGTAAGTGATAGCTCTGTTCAAACGCCACTGTGTGAAACAAGTGAGCGAGTCTCATGACCCCCATCTCATCATGGTGAAGGGGAATGATGGCAAGAACAGCACAAGACTAAAAACTACATGAAGGAATTTGTATCTCTTGAATTCCTTCAAAATATTTTAGAACAATTTATTCTGTTTTCTGGGGACACCATGAATGTAGAAGCTCTTTCTTTTTGATTTTAATAAGAAGCAGAGGTTAATGTTGTGTATGATTAGGTACTGAGATTATTAAATTATATAAGATCTCTTTTGCTTTGTTGTTTGTTTTCATCTTTATTTTAAGATTACCTTAATGAATCATATTTTGCTGAGAAATTATTTGCAGTATTCACCAAATGGTTCCCATGAAGAAAATGATGATTTTCTTCACTACTGAAAATATCAAGAATATTATTGTTTTCTCTAGATGAGTGAAACTAGAGAATTCTTTCTCTGAGAGCATAATGCAAATAATGCCAACTGATTAAATCAAAGAGATGTTATAACTCCTTTGGGAAAGCCATATTCTTTATTTTTGAAATATTCCCAAACAAAAATCTAGATCTCAAAGCTAGTCACACCATGATCCATCATATCTTAGCTACTTGCAAGTCATCAGCAGTTTATCATGATTTACACTTAGTAACCATGTAAACATAAGTGACACTCCTAATTATCATGACTAATCTAGAATCATCTGGCTTTTTTTTAAGTAAGAAAAATTAGGTTAATAAAACAGTGTGTCTCTTTTTCTCTCTCTCTCTCTCTCTATATATGTTTTTTTATTTTTTTTATTTTTTTTTTTTTTTGAGACTGAGTTTCACCCTTCTTGCCCACGCTAGAGTGCAATGATGTGATCTTGGCTCACTGCAACCTCAGCCTCCCAGGTTCAAGAGATTCTCCTGCCTCAGCTTCCCAAGTAGCTGGGGTTACAGGTGTGCACCACCACACCTGGCTAATTTTGTATTTTTAGTAGAAATGGGGTTTCTCCATATTGGTTAGTCTGGTCACAATAAATATATTTTATAGATGTTACTTTTCAGTTTGTTACAACAGCAAGTTCAGATAGAGTCCATTTTAAAAGATTTAAGAGTTTAAAATATTATACCCATTGTCCTATTTTATTATATTATTTATTTATGTGTTTATATATTTATTTTTAGAGACAAGATCATGTTCTGTTGCTCAGGCTGGAGTGCAGTAACACAATCATAGCTCACTATAACCTCAAACTACTGGGATCAGGAGATCCCCCAACCTCAGCCTCCCGAGTAGCTTGGACTACAGGTGTGCACTGGCTAATTTTTAATGTTTAAAAATTTGTTGTAGCAATAGTGTCTTGGTATGTTATCCAGGATAGTCTTGAACTCCTGGCCTCTAGGGGTCCATCTGCCTCGGCTTTCCAAAGCTTTCGGATTACAGATGTGAGCCACCGCGACTGGGCTTATTATCCTTTTTAAATAAACATTTTTGATGGTGAAAATACATGGAACATATGACCAAATTCAATAATTACAATGTATATAATGTTACTGAAGGATGGATATAACAGAAAGTTAAGACTTGAGGTCTGATATAAGACAGCCTGCCTGAGTTCAAGACCAAACTCTTCCTCAGATGGGCTGTGAGACAGTGATCAAGATACTGACCTCTTTTAAAATCTCTGCTTTTTCATCTGTAAAATGTAAATTAAAAATACCTTGTGCTATATGGTTGTTGGGACAATTAATATGCTAAAAGAGCACATGAGAATACACACTGATATTGCCTTAAATTAATAACTTGCATTTTAGGTTGTTTTTGGTATTATAGTAATATTTGATAGTTTTTCCTAAAACAAAAAAATTAACATATTTTTATTTGTGGTTGAAGAAGTAATTTTAGCTCTTGACTCCAAGATGGTGATAATAGGATATTCTGCACTATGTTTTTTTACCTTTAGCAACTCAATTTTTAATAAACAATAAAACAAGCAAGTTATTCTAACATATGGTTAACTTTGCTAACGGTGTCCATAATTTGTTTCACTACTTATAAGGAAATAAGTACGGGAATTTATACCAAGGGACAGAAATAGAAAAAGAAAAGAAAATTCTTGCACAGTATATTTCATCTGATCTGGCAAACTTAAACTTTTCAAATATGTTTATCTAGTAAAATCAGGTTTAATCCTTTAATTGTGTCCCAAATATGAGCCAATAGGTTTAATGAACATTGTGAAAATGCACATTTTTCCATACCCTGATTTTCATCTGTTTTTTTATAGGAACAAATGGTCCAGTAACCACTCTTGAGGTTGGCTGTCCTCAAACTAACTCAGCGATGCAGTCTCACATTTCTGAGTTTAGCAATCTGGAGACATATGGGGAACGTGTGAGCTGGTCAGCAATCAGCAGTGCTTGATTCAGTTGCAGAATATCAATTAAGGGAGAGAATAAGCTAATGTTCCTTCCACCAGAGAAATGACTAGAATATTATGTCTCCCTTAGCCTACTCAGTGACAGCTGACTTGTGCCCATAAACTTTGGTGCATGGACCTATTAGTTCAGCAACTTCAATAAGCTTTATTTTCAATAATGTACTCAAGCTGTGACTTTACCATAATTTTCCCCACAGGTATTCGTATTTGGAGTGATCTACTGTGTGTAGTGATATTGGCACACTCTATAACACAATCTTGAAATCGCCATACACAATTTATTAAAAGCTGTGTGACTGTGCTCTAAAGATGATCCTACTGTTAAGTGACTTTGAGTGCTGAGCATTCTTCATTCATGACAGGAAAAAACACCTACGCTCTGAAATGTCTGGATTTTGTGTAAAAAGATAGAGAGAAAGAGATGGAAGAAAGAGAGAGAGAGAGCACACAGAGAGCTTTTCCCTGTTTACATTTTCATCTTGTGTCTACTGGATTGATCCTCTACTTGATGTCAGCTCACCAGGCTGACAGCAATTCTAGCAGAGAGACAAGGAGTTAGAGGGGCTTTGATTCATCCCCTCCCCCTAACTCCCTGCCTGTCATTGTCTGCTCCTGAGTAAGCAAAGTGAATGTGGTCAGAGAGGTCTGGGGCTGCTGGAGCTATGTTTTCCAATCTCAGGGGCAGCGACCTTCTCATCAACAAATCCATGCAAGCATTTGATGCATTATGCCGCTTTTTACTCACAAGTTTTGTTCTTCACTAGAGAAGCACTCAGCCCAAATAAGATAATTCACCATGGAATTGTGTGTGTGTGTGTGTGTGTGTGTGTGTGTGTAGATAGATTAAGTGATAGATTGAGAGTATAGAGGTTTTTTTAAGCCTTCATCTCTATTTTTGTAATGTTAATTTTCCCCTTCCCCCATAGTTCTCCCAAAAACTGCTCTGTGATGTGATCACAAATACTCATGTGCATAAATTCCCATTATCATAATAGGGGCACTGCAGTGAGGCTTCTCCTGAAAATAAATTACTCTGTAGAATATATTAGGAGGACTAAACCCAAACAAGCTAAATTGTGTGTTCTCCCATCCTGTAAGTTAAGCATTTGAAGATACAAAATCAATTGCATTTTTCATTTTATGTTTATTTTCTTGTTTTCTTTGCTTCATATACGGTCTATCTATTCTCTCTCTCTTTCTCTTTCCCTCTCTCTTAAGACAGAAGACATTTCAATTATTACATTTTTTTCTTTCAAGTGCCTTTATCATTCTTTTTAGCTGCCCCTTCTTTTCAACACATTGTAGTCCATGTCAATAGTCTTGTTTGACTTCAAACACACGAATATGCATGTTTTCAAAGGAAAAGAGGTGCCCACTAGGCACATTTATCATGGGCAGGTCTAAGGGCACAGAACAGTCTGAAAGTGTGGGGTCTATGTCCTGTTATTGCATAGGCTTGAGTTAGTCACCCACTTTGTATCCTCTCTCCCATTTCTAAAACTAAGGCAAGACCAGCCTTCCTACAAATTTTCCAAGGATGGTGTTAACACAGGTGAAATAATCCATAGGAAAGCACTATAGGCTTTAGGATAACAAAGACTATTAAATTCAAGATGATTCCAGTAAATTGTCTTCATTCTTGAATTTCTGGTAAATATTTGTTAGCAACTTTTGGGTATGCTTGTAGGTTAGTTAAAAAGTTAAAACTACTAAGGAAGTGATTACAATTAAGCTGTATTCAAAAAGGTCATCGTTTTCCAATGACTGAGTTACAGCAGCATTCTACCCTTAGGAATGAAAGTTACTGAGAAAATTGAAATCACCTTTAAAATGACCCAGAGGTAACAAGGCCTGTCTTGTTCCCCCGCTGTTGGTAACCACCATTGTCATTGATTCAAGGGTAGACAGTCAGCTAATTAAGAATTACCTTTGATGACATCTGGATTAATTAAAAAATGTATAAAATCTTACTTGATGTGTTTTAGAAACTGAGCTTTGAGGGGTTTTATTTTAAATTTAATATGAGCTTGAGTTTGTGAGTCAAATGGATACATTAAAATATCTTTAAGTTAAGGTCGAAACTTGTTTAAGATTATGCTTGGCATGAAAGACATAAGGCAGCCTTAGCCCCTTCATGAATATATCATACAAATGCTTTTCAAGATCCTATGCATCTTGTCTTCTCCGAGGCCAGCTCCACTCAGCTTTTTACTGATTTATAAAAGAGACCCTCAGATATAAAAGTTGGTACTGGACCAAATAAAGAGGTTCATGAGAATTGTAGTCATTTTTCAGATGTGTATGTTACTTTTTAAAATGTATTTGCTCCATTGTTATCTATCAGGAATGGTAATTTTTTACATCAATTCCAGCACTTATGTTGCTTATGCCATTTTCATGTCCTGGCTGGCTGGAAAGTGCCTGCATACTGGACTTTTCAGTGACATACAGATACAAAAGCAAATTCCCTCAAGTCAAGCGGAAAAGGATTTAAAACTCAGTGTGCATCCCTGTTGGAGCAAGAGAGCCTATTGCAAAAACAAAGAGTGAAGAGAAAATTCTATCCTTGGAAGCTTCTCAACAACACAACCACAGCTTTTCATGTAATAGCTCCAATGTTCCCACTACAGCCATTAAAAAGGTAATGAAACAAATCACTTGCTATTCATCACAATTATGATAGATGGAATCCAACTGGACTAACTTGGGGGAAAAATCACATCTCAAAGTGGATCCATTTCAGAAAACAGCAAAGTGTGAGGAGTAGGGATAACACTTATTTCCCATAAACAATATAGTCAGGCATTTGATCTATCTAAACCAATAGATTACTGTCTTGATATATCTTTCCGCTGCAATTTTGTCTTTTATTTTATTAGGACTAGTGAAGAATTTCTTGCTGCCTGTGTGAATGAGAGAACTAGTTTGGGACCACATAGAATGTAATAGTGAGATAAATATAGTAAACCAGTGTGAGTACCACTCATTCTTCACTCTGCAGGTAACTATTCTTGATTTCTTTGGTTTTCATTCTTCCATTGGGTTTCTATATTCCTACCACTTTCAGAAATCTCCAGAAGTATTAATAGGGGTAACAGTTGTCACAGTATTCAAGTAATAATAAAGGAGACCTATATTGAAAGTAGATAATACACTGTATTAAACAAGATATATGGCCAGTAGCTTTATGATACTCATCGGAAGTCAGTTCTATTTCAAAAATTATGCCCGTGGGTTTAAGCATCTCCCCATCTTCAGAGGGAAAAAAATTAGTGCAGAAGGTGCTGAACTTAAATTGATTTACGGGACAAAATATAATAATAATTGTAGCTATCGCTTCCTAAATACCCGTTATGCACCAGATAAGCACCCATGCATTATCTGAATCTTTACTGCACTCCTATAGTCGTAGTAGCTCTTTTGTAAACCTCCTTTCATAGGTGAGGAAACCGAAGTTCACAAATGCAAAGAGATTTTCGAAACAGCGAATGTGCTAGTAAATTGCCAGAACTTGAATTAGAATACCGGAGTGTCTTTCTCAGGGTCCATGCCTTTAATTAACCAAGGTTGCCCAAGTTGGATAATTCTTGCATCTTTAAGAATATACATGCACATCAGTTAGCCACCCAGCATTAATCGTAGTGGCAGTACTTATTTAACACCATAGGCTTAAAATTAAATTCTATCCCTTTTGAAAGCAATGGGCACCAATCTATTCATCAACATAAATCATAACTGGCACTGACATCCTATGGGCAGGACCTAGTTATAAGGTTGGCAGGCAGATCATTCAGAATTATATATGTATTATCATTGAAATGGAAACATAAACTGGAAAAAAGTAATTGTAATAATATTCAACCTCTGAGAATATGATCTACATTTCTAGCTGGAGCAACTATTCTCTCTACCTTCCTGAACACAGGAGACCCTTAGAGCTGAGTGCTGTGGCTGCGTTTTGGAAAGTAGAAGGTGAAAATGTGCTGATTCTTCTGAACAGAGGCGTGTTGCTTTCCTAAGACACATATCTTGTATAAAAACATGTCATCACTGACTCCTAAGCTAAATAGCTGCCATCACAACTTTAGGGAAAGTGGATTTCTAGCCAGAGGGATATGAGTAGACACAAAAATCCAAGCCTGAAGGTATCTTTCCCTCTTTTTACTTCTCATTTAAGTAGCAGACATTCTGAAAAAGGCATGAATTTTAGGAAATGGCTTCACTGTTGCAGAAATAGCAGGAAAAAATTAAATAAATGCTTGAAATGCAAATGAATTTAAATTTCATTCATGGGCAACAAAAATCTAGTAGATGCATGTGAAAGGAGGGGAAAGTGTTTCATACAAACTTGGGTCAAAGAGATTATTTTGAAGTAACACATTGGTTTGACTGGAAAAGCGAGATGAGGCAAGGCACAAAGAGCCCTCACAGGAAAGGAACTATGGTGGTTCTATGTTCTCAAAAAAGGTGAGCACCTTGCCCTTTGCGGGTGCTAATAAATATTAATAAATGGGATAAGCAATGTGGTTTCAAGGGCCCAAATTAAGAAATAACTAATTTCTGAATAAGGATTTGGTGCTAGAAATTGCTTATACTTAGAACATTTTGGGTGCTCCAAAAATAATGATTAAATAATAACCAGAAGGGTGTATCTAATTAGCTTCCTCTCATGAGAAATGTTTTAAAAGCGGTTAAAGAAGGTTTTATGCTGGAAAATGAAGAACTTAAAAGAGTGATAATTATTCCCTAGAGAAGCCCAGGGGAATGTTAGGGCGATAAAGCTGAGGGTACACACAAACATTGAAATGAGGTTCTGTACCCCAACTTTTGAATGAGGGAAACCCTGCCTCTAATTTTTAAAAAGGTTCATCCCATTGCATAAACATCCAAGCAAGAAGAAAGAGAATTATTTCTCCTTGAAAGACCAAACTACTGAATCAAGGTCTCCACCCAAGTCTCTGCCCATCTTCATCACTCTCTTATTGCTTTTTCTAGCACATTTTGTTTTCTAATTCAAATCTAACTATAAAGACTGGAAAGGATTTACCAAGTTGAAGATAGAAATGACAGATTGTACAGCAACTTGATCCAGAAAATGAAAGAGATAAACAGACATCAGAAACAAGTAAAAGACAACAAACAAACATGCTTCCCATAGTACACAAGAGGACTAAACTGTTTCATAACTCATTCTGAAAATGGAATATGGAAGTCAGGCTAATTATTGAAGTCACTAATTTTCTAATACCTCAGTTCAGGTGGACATGCATAGGATAACAAAACAAAACAAAACAGCACAGTGGTTTACAGTTGTGGTAAATTACCAATGAGTTTCAAATTTCCTGAGCTCCCCAATTTGAGTTGAGAACTTCCTCTTTTGTGCCCAAATACATCTTTATGTTCTACTTTTATTATAGTACATTTTCCACATTGATTTGTTTATATTTTAGTTATGCCCATTATACTGTAATCTTTCTGAGTGCACTGACCATATCTTATTCATGTTTAACCTATCCTGGGAAATAGCTGGCTCAATAATTGTTTGTTGAAATTAATTGAACCAAATTAAAATGATAGCACAGGTTTAAAATATTAACTAATCCCAATTGGTTACTCCATGTTACCCACAGGACTTAATTATGATTCTTATATAGCCTTGCTATTCAGAGTGGTCCACAGAACCAACAGCAATGGCATCATCTAGGAGCTTGTTAGAAACAGAGACTTGATTCTGAGACCCCATTCCAGACCTACTGAGTCAAAATCTGCATTTTAACAAGACCTCCAGGTGATTCATCTGCACATTTGAAGTCTGAGAAGTATATTTATTGCATGTCTATCATGTCAAATAATGGTGCAAGGCAATATGAATATAATGAAAAACAAGATGTACAGTCCTTGATCTGTTACATCTTGCATTTCTAGCAAAAAAAGATAAATGATAATATCTTTTTCATGACGGATTATTTAATTAATATATGATTGCTCTGTTGGAGAAATATAGGAGCTATGGGAGACAGATCTAGCCTGGGGAACACGGGAAGGTTTTCACGAGAAACTGATATTTGAAACTGAAAAATGAGTAAGAGTTAACTAGAGAAAAGCCCAATAAATGGAAGAAGGGCTTCTAGTAGAGGGGACTGCAGATATGAAGATTCTGAGTTGAAGTATGGCATATTGGAGGAACTTAGTAAATGTAACTGTAGGTCAAAGAGTGGGGCAGATAGTGGGGATATATCATTCAGGACATTGAAGATAATGTTTGAAGATTTTGATTTTGATACTGAAAGCATTGAGAAGCTATTGAAAAGTGCTAACCATGGTAATATGATATAAATATATTTTAAGACAAATAACTGGCTACAGTACAGAAGATAGAAGAAACTTAAGGATAAATGATGCAACACTGTTCAGCTGGGCCGTTCTCTGATTCGCATGGTGGTAATTAGAGTAGCTGCGTCTGGAAGATCTCCTTCCAAGATATTACATATCTGCTGCCTTTGTTATCTATCTATCTATCTATCTATCTATCTATCTATCTATCTATCTATCCATCCATCCAGTCACCTATCAATCTTTTGATCTTTTCCTCTCCCCTAGAGGACATATTATATCTTTCAGTGCCTTTCCATATAGCTTGGGCTTCTAACAGGATGCTAGCCTTGAGGTTCTAAGAGTGAATGCTCCAAAAAACAATAAGTAAGTGCTTCCAGTTTTTAGAGACTTGAGTCTAGAAATTGCAAAACAGGAATTAAAGCACTCAGAGAAGCCAGCCTAGATTCATGGGAAGAGGATTTAGACCACACACCTCTAAAGGAGAAGAAAATAATCTTTAATTTTTAATTTAATCTTTTTCTTTTTCAACTTTTATTTTAGATTCATGCTGTACATGTGCAGTTTGTTACCTGGGTATATGCATGATGCTGAGGTTTGAGTTATAAATGATCCCATCACACAGATACTGAGAAAAGTCCCCAACAGTTTTTCAACACTTACCCCATTTTCTCCCTTCCTCATCTAGTAGTCCCCGGTGTCTACTGCTCCCATCTTTATGAGTATCCAATGTTTAACTCCCACTTGTAAGTGAGAACAAGCAGTATTTGGTTTTCTGTTCCTGGGTTAATTTGCTTAGGATAATGGCCTCCAGCTGCATCCATGCTGCTGCAAAGGACATGATTTTATTCTTTTCTGTAGCTACGTAATATTCCATTGTGTATATGTACCACATTTTCTTCATCCAATCCACCATTGATGGGCACTAGGTTGATTCCATGTCTGTGCTATTGTGAATGGTGCTGCGATGAACATGCAAATGCATGTATCTTTTTGGTAGAATGATTTGTTTTCTTTTGGATATATACCCAGTAATGGAATTGCTGGGTTAAATGATAGTTGTTTTAAGTTCTTTGAGAAATTGCCAAACTGCTTCCCACAATGGCTGAGCTAATTTACATTCCCACCAGGAGTGTATAGCATTCCCTTTTCATTGCAAACTTGCCAACATCTGTTGTATTCTGAGTTTTTAATAATAGCTATTCTGACTAGTGTGAGATGGTATCTCATTGTGGTTTTGATTTGCATTTCTTTAATGATTAGTGATGAGGAGCATTTTTAATAAGTTTGTTGACCACTTATATGTCTTCTTTTGAGAAGTGTCTGTTCATGTCTTTTGCCCACTTTTTTTTAACAGGGTTATTTATTTTTTGCTTTTTCAATAGTTTAAATTCCTTATAGATCTGGACATTAGGCTTTTGTCAGATTTGTAGTTTGCAGATGTTTTCCCCCATTCTGTAGGTTGTATGTTTATTCTGTTGATAGTTTCTCTTACTGTGCGGAAGCTGTCTAGTTTAATTAGGCTCCATTTGTCAATTTTTGTTTTTGTTACAATTGCTTTTGAGGACTTAGTCATAAATTCTTTCCCAAGGCTAATGTTCAGAATGATGTTTCCTGGGTTTTCTTCTAGGATTCTTATAGTTTGATGTCTTACATGTAAATATTCAATCCATCTTGAGTTAATTTTTTCTATGGTTAAAGGTAGGGAACCAGCTTTATTCTTCTACATATGACTAGCCTGTTATCCCAGCATCATTTATTGAATAGACAGTCCTTTCCCCCTTGCTTATTTTTGTCCATTTTGTCAAAGATTAGATTACTGTAGGTGTGTGGCTTTATTTCCAGGATCTTTATTCTGTTTCATTGGCCTATGTGTCTGTTTTTGTATCAGTACCATACTGTTTTGGTTACTGTAACCTTATATTATACTTTGAATTCAGGTAATGTGATGCCTCTGGCTTTTTTCTTTTTGCTTAGGATTGCTTTGGCTATTTGGCTCTTTTTTGGTTTCATATTATTTTTAGAATAGTTATTGCCAATTCTGTGAAAAATGATGTTGGTTTGATAGGAATGGTATTGAATTTGTAGATTGCTTTGGGCATTATTGACCATTTTAACAGCATTGATTCTTCCTGTCTGTGAGCATGGAATGTTTTTCCATTTGTTTGTGTCGTATATGATTTCTTTTGGCAGTGCTTTGTAGTTCTCCTTATACAGATCTTTCATCTCCTTGGTTAAATGTATTCCTAGGTATTTTACTTTTTTGTGG
This sequence comes from Homo sapiens, assembly GCF_000001405.40. Lineage (NCBI taxonomy): Eukaryota > Metazoa > Chordata > Mammalia > Primates > Hominidae > Homo > Homo sapiens. The sequence continues at coordinate 98,304,045 of NC_000006.12, forward strand.
CTATTGTAAATGGGATTGTATTCTTGATTTGGCTCTCAGCTTCAGTGTTATTGGTATATAGAAATGCTACTAAATGCTACTGATTTATGTACATTGATTTTTATCCTGAAGCTTTGCTAAAGTCCTTTACCAGTTCCAGGAGCCTTCTGGCAGAGTATTTAGGGTTTTCTAAATATAGAATTGTATCGTCCATGAAAAGAGATAATTTGACTTTTTTTTTTTTCTATTTGGATGCTTTTATATCTTTCTCTTGCCTAATTGCTCTGGCTAGCACTCCAGTATTTTGTTGAATAGAAGTGGTGAGAGTAGGCTTCCTTGTCTTGTTTCAGTTCTCAAGGGGAAGGAAGATGCAAATAATTTGAGGTTACCTTTAATCTACCATAGAAACTAAGTTGATGTTTATGAGACTAATATGGCTTTTGTCACCCAAGATCAAGATCTGCTTCTAAGTTGGACGAGACCACCATTAGGTGAATCTAAAGCCAAAGTGAGTCAGATATGTCCATTCCCTGATGGCTGGGAGATGGTCCTATTTCCCAATCTTGACCGTCAAATGCTCCCAAACTGAACTGTAACTCTGAAGGAAATGACCTTGGCTTTGTTATCTGCAGTCTTATTTCCCATGTATTTTTTTTTGATATCCTAAAATGACCTCACCAGTGTTCTCCAGTCATCGGTGACCTACCCATTATCTTTATGTGATTTTTCTGAGTAAATTACCCAGAGCTGATTTGTTTTGCCTGAAATACAGAATCCCGATCACTACAGCAGTTCAAGCAAGAGTTGTTATAATCTGTGCCCAATGGTAACAATGGAAAGGGAAATAATTTAGTGGATGGTAAGAATGTTAAGTAGATCAAATAGATTAGTAATAGTATTAGATGAAATATGAGAATGATGGAAAAGATTGGCTACTGTCTGGATGATAGTGCCATTCACTGAGATATGGAAATTGGAGGAGAGTGAGATTTAAGGATTCGTCCATGTTTTAAGTTTTGAATATGTTGATGTTGAAGTACTTGTGAGAGATCCAAATCAAGATGTTGTGTAGACAGTTATACATATCATTTGTAGTTCAAATGTGAAGTCTGTACTAGAAATAGAAATAGAAATATGGGAATAGCTAGCTTATACATCTTAAATAAAACTATGTGTATGGATGAGTGACCCTGGAATGAAAAGACAGACTTCTTCCTCTATATCTGTTTCTGTAAGTAGACTTTTATTTGAATAGAGAACATTTCTCTATAGCCTTGTCTCTTGAGTTTCTCTTCACTCTGCATTATTGCTTTAATGTTGCCTATTATGAGAAATCTCATTGTGAGAGCCAAAGTGGCTCTTCTCAGAAATTTCCAAAACCTGTTATTCTTCAAGTAGCAAAAGACATTCACAGCTTAATGCAGAAGTAAGGTGAGCGCTCTCTTTTCAACCTCTGGCTCCCTAGATTCCAAACAGCATTGTTCGTACCCAGAATCTAAGGAAGACTCTTGTGAAAACTCCTCTTGAAATTTTGGAATTTCTAGTTAAGAGTTTGTTAAGTACAAAATGGCAAAATGTCTTCTAATAATTCCTGACAGATCTTGATCTTTTATTTTTCTGGAGTAGAAGACTTGTCTGAGATAGAAAAGTCACGTAAATAAGTCACGTAAATAAATTAGGTAAGCTCTCTTGTAGTTAAAATGGATCAGTAGAAATTCTGCTTAATTCCATTGAAGGGTCACCATCCATGCAAGGCATGGAAGCCAGACTTCTTTATTAAGGACTTGATATTTTTGTTCCAAGTGAGGAGGCTCTGGGAACTAATTAATGCTAATCAAACTTAAGCATGATTGATAAGTGAGAATCTCAATTTACCCACTTGTACTGAGTCATAAATATATATGTTGACTGAGGTACAATCCTCTCTCATGCAGGAATTGGTCTTTGGGAAACAACATTACTAAACAAAATTTACGTGGTGAATATAGGGTGATATTTTCTAAAATGTTCTCTTGGTGGAATGCAAATTTCAATTTACGTTAAGGGTGTTATTATTACTCCCCTTCCACTAAAAACAGTTTTGGCGATCAAGCAGTTTTAAAAATTAACCAAATTAGAGTGAATACCCCCAAACTCAGTGGCTTAAAACAACAGCACTGTATTATTTCTTAAAGTTTCTGTGTGTTGGAAATTCAGAAAAGGCTTGGCTGGACAAGGCTTGGGATCGCGCATGCATTTTCGATGATATGATTGCTGGGGTTGAAGAGCAGATATCTAGTGTGTGCAGGTACTGGCCAGGCATCTCTTCCTCTCTTAATGTAGTCTCAGAGCTTCTCCATGCAATCTTTTTATATGGGCTGATTTGGGCTTCCTCACAGTATGGCAGCCTTACCACAGCCAAGCTTCAATATTGAGACTCTTGGATTTAGGAGGAGTATTTCACCAAATAAAGTTAAAATTGCAACACATTTTCTGACCTAACTTGGAAAGTCACTAAGTATCACATCCACTGCCTTTTGTTGGTTTCAAGCAAGTCATAAGCCTGCCTAGATTTTAGGGAAGAAAAGACCCATCTCTTAATGAGGGAGATATCAAAGTCACAATTCAGAATAGCACTTAGAATGGGAGATAATGTTGCAGCCATCTTTGGAAATAGTCATCCCTCGGTATCCACAGGGGATTGGTTCCAGGACTTCCCTCAGACACCGAAATCCATGCATGCTTATGACCCTGAAATAAAATGGCATAGTATTTGCATATAATCCATGCACATCTTCCTGTATAATTTAAATTATCTCTAGGTTATTTATAATACCTAATACCGTGTAAATGCTAGGTAAATAGTTATACTGTATTTGCTATTTGTATTTTTTAAATTGCTATAATTTTGTTTTTGTTTTTGTTTTCCAAATATTTTTGATATGCTATTGCTTGAATCTGTGGATGCAGAACCTGGAGACATGGAGAGCCAACCATAGCATGTCACAGCAGCTGTGGAAGAATGGTCATGTTAGATAACATCTCAGTCTCAGATACTTCACATTGAGGAGGAGAAATACAGAAGAAAACTTCCTGCTTTGAGCCTCAACAAATCTATTACAACAAAAGAATAGCTGTTAGATAACATTTATCAATCAAGAATGACTTGAATATCCTTTTTTCTTTGCCCTCAATCTTTATTTCACCTTTCTGTTTTCATATTATTAACCATTTTGCACATCTATCTCTCATTTTCCATGATTATAAATTCCATCTATAAGCTGACAACTCTCAATATCTCAAGCCTAAACTTCTCTCCCAAACTCCAGACTTACAGATTGAACAGCCTGTCCAAAACTAAGCTCCTGATATTACTCCTGTGAAGGGTTAAGCTTCTTTTTTTTCCATTTTTATTTTAGGTTTGGGGGTACATGTGCAGGTTTGTTACATCAGTAAATTTGTGTCACGGGAATTTGTTATACAGATTATTTCATCACCCAAGTATTAAGCCTAGTACCTATTAATTATTTTCCCTCATCTTCTCCCTCCTCCCACCCTCCCCCCCTCCAATAGGCCCCCAGTGTATGTTATTCCCCTCTATGTGTCCATGTGTTCTCATCATTTAGCTCCTATTTTTAAGTGTGAATATGCAGTATTTGGCTTTCTGTTCCTGTGTTAGATTGCTAAGGACAAAGGCCTCTGGCTCCATCCATGTTTCCATGTTGCAGCAAAAGACATGATTTCATTTTTTTTTTTTTTTTTTTTTGAGACAGAGTCTCGCTCTGTTGCCCAGGCTGGAGTGCAGTTGCGCTATCTCGGCTCACTGCAAGCTCTGCCTCCCGGGTTCACGCCATTCTCCTGCCTTAGCCTCCTGAGTAGCTGGGACTACAGGCACCCACCACCACTCCCGGCTAATTTTTTTATTTTTGGTAGAGATGAGGTTTCACCCTGTTAGCCAGGATGGTCTCGATCTCCTGACCTTGTGATCTGCCCACCTCGGCCTCCCAAAGTGCTGGAATTACAGGAATGAGCCACCATGCCCAGCCGATCTCATTCTTTTTATTGTGCATAGTATTCTATGATGTATATATACCACAGTTTCCTTAAAGATTGGCAAGGTTTAGGTCCAAATTGCTTCTTTTCTTGATAAGTTCTAAACTTATCTCAGACTTACTTATTCTTTGGCCTGTTGTTCGCTAACTGTGGTCTCCACACCAGGAATATCAGTATTACCTGAAAACTAGAAATGCATATTCTTGGGATAACCCAGATCTACTGAATTAGAAATTCTGAGGGTAGGAGCCAGCAATTATGTTTTAACAAACCCTCCTTATGACTCTGCTGTGCACACAAGTTTGTGAACCACTGCCTTAGGCTGTGTGTTTCTGAAATCTGAGAGCTGTTAAGTAATATCTTCTTTATCCTCCATCTCATATTTCTGTTTTTCATTTCCCTTTAGTTTGACTAACCTAATGTTTATAAGTTATAAAATCTTTTGTAATTGCCAGTAGACAGAGCAGAATCCCATTCATATGCTTCTCAATTTGCAACAGAAAAACATAATTTTCTCTTTTTTCACCTGCCTTCGGGTTGTAATACTGGTGTGGACCTTTGACATCTCAAATTTTCTATATCCTCAGGCTTTCCTATCTTGGCCGGTAACAACCTTACCCTTCTAGCATCTTTGCTCTACCTGAATAGATCCAGACTCCAACCACAGCTCACCACCTCCACCGCCACCGCCTCCATATGATTCACCCACAGTAACTTCCACCTGGATGATTGTTGGCAGGTCTCCCTTTGTCTGTCCTTGCCTCCCTAGTCTATTTTCATCATAGCAACCCAAGTGTTCCCTTTGCAACATAAATCAGATCACATCACACCCCTGCTCACAAGCTGTTAGTGAGACACTTCATTTTTCTCAGAAGAAAAGCCAAATTCTTTTTTTTTTCTTTACAACTTTTATTTTGGAATCAGAGAGTACATGTGCAGGTTTATTACATGGGCATGTTGCGTGATACTGAGGTTTGGGGTATAGATGATTCTGTCACCCAGGTAGTAAGCATTGTACCAAATTAGTAGTTTTGCAGCCCACGTCTTCCTCTAGTAGTCCCCAGTGACTATTGTTCCCAATTTTATATCCATGTGTACTCAATTTTTAGCTCCCACCTATAAGTGAGAATATGTAGTATTGGGTTTTCTATTCCTGCAGAATTCACTTAGGATAATGGCCTCAATTCTATCCATGCTGCTACAAAGGACATGATTTCATTCTTTCTTGTGGCTTTGTACTATTCCATGGTGTATATGTACCCCATTTTTTTAATCCAGTCCATTGTTGATAGCAACCAAGATTGAGTCCATGTCTTTGCTATTGTGAATAGCACTGCCATAAACATGAAAACACATGTATTTTTTTGGTAGAACAATTTAATTCTTTTGGATATATACCCAGTAATGGGATTGCTGGGTTGAATAGTAATTCTGTATTAAGTTCTTTGAGAAATGTCCTACCTCTTTTCACAGTGGCTGAGCTAATTTGCATTTCTACCAACAGCGTAAAAATGTTCCCTTTTCTCCACAGCCTCACCAGCATCTGTTATTTTTTGACTTTTTAATAATAGCCATTTTGACTGGTGTTAGGATGGTTTCTCATTATGGCTTTGATTTGCATTTCTCTAAGAATTAGTGTTGATGAGCATTTTTTTTCATACATCTTTTGGCCACTTGAGAATGTCTTTTGAAAAGTTTCTCAAAAAAATGAGCATGTCTTTTGTCCATTTTTTAATTGAATTATTTGTTTCTTGCTTGTTGATTTAAGTTCCTTGTAGATTTTTGATACAGACCTTTGTTGGATATATAGTTTGCAAATGTTTTCTCCCATTCTGTAGGTTGTCTGTTAACTCTGTTGATAGCTTCTTTTGCTGTGAGATGCTCTTTAGTTTAATTAGGTCCCACTTGTAAATTTTTCTGTGATTTTACAAGGTGATACATGGTCATCCTTGCCCCTTATCTCAGACCTTCTCTCTGACTTCCTTCCCTCCCCTTTTGCTCCAGACACACTGGTAGTCTGCTATTTCTCTAGTGTTACTTGCCTGCATAAGGGAAGAAAGGAAACAGCCTGAGGACTTTCTTCATGCAGTCAACACAGGGGAAGAAGTGGGGCTTTGAGAGGAACTTAAACTTTAATGGAAGGAACTGCTGAGTCAGAAACAAGCCTATATAGCAGGTCACATGACAGTAATTTTCCCCAGAGGTATATTGGTCAGGCAATGAAATAGGATGATCTTTCTGTTTTTCCCTCTTCCTGTAGGTTCGTTTCTCTTTGCTATTATTTAAACATATCAGGCTTTGCTTAAACAAAGAAAGGTGTTTTTGAGAGCTCTATCCAGTGAGAATCACAAGTAAGCATTCATTTGATGGCCAATTATAAACCATTGACAACCAGATAAGTCAGAGTTTATTGTGTTGAAGGAAACCACAGGTGTAGTTCAGCTCTGCATTCTGGGAGTGTTAGAAAATCCTAGTTCTCTACATTTGGAATGGGACGAGTTGAGAATATGAGGATTAAGGCACTAATCTGCCATTCATAGCTTGCTCTTTGAAAGAGCAGAAGCAAATAAAGGCTTTGATCAGTGCCGGAGTCGAAGAGCAGAACTACAGCCCTTTCGTACCCTTTGATTTGGAAACAGTCGCCCTTCACAGTGGGATTCAAAGCCTGGATCTTTACTCTTGGAACCTTTTTCTTGCTGTGAGCATGAACACTCCTGCACTTTGTTTCCAAAAGGATTCACTTAGACTTTAGACAGTGGTGAGTGCCTCTCCCCTTCCCCCCATCCATCCAAAGACAAAATTTCAAGTGACATTCAGTTCAGTTCTACTTTATATTCCTAGAGTAAAAGCCTCCATTCTGTTGGTGTAGGCTTCTTTCTCTCTTTCCACCAGTGTGATATATTTATGGGATGAAATAATAAAATATATACTTTTTAAAAACTTTATTTTCACTCTCTAAGACCTAGAAGGCTCTCAAATTTGCCTTTTCAAAAACTACAGCTGCAAAAGTTGGTCCTCTATGGTTTACCTAGAAGATCTTACACAATTTCAGACCAGGAACTCCAAATTATTTGACAATGAGCAGCAAACATTCATGGGAACCCAATCGATGCTAGCTGTGGTGTCAGTAATAATTGTTAAAAAATAAATAAATTTTCAGCCTAATGGGGAAGACAGACACAAACCATGGGATAAGTAGAATCACAGGAGGGTATGAGAGATGCCTTGAAAGCAGAGGTACTCAAGGAGCCCAGACTGGATCAGAGAAGGAGACCTAGAGCAGGGGATGCCTCAGTGAGAAATGAAGGGCTTATGAGGTTGCTAAGTTAATGTCTAATTTTATTTAGTAGGTTTCTAACCCTATTTCTCTGAGCCCTCCCAGGCTTTTATTTCTTAAATTGCAGTAATTATAGGATCCACTAAGATCTCTAAGTGTAATTAATCTAATTTTCTAAAGAAATGAAATAAAAACGATGTATTTTTAAAATATGTTGGAGCTGTAGTTTGGGGGTTTGTAGGTTTGTTTCTTTGTTGTCTTTCCGGAAAGGAAACTAGGCAGGGTTTTCGACAAGTTCTGTCAGCCCATGGGGATTCGACCTTAGGATCTGAAAACCATAAAAATCATACCATGAAATGTGAATATACTTATTCTTTTTGTATATAAGTGATAACAAAAAGGGAAATGTGTGCTTCGTATCCTCGACACCAAGCACAGAGCTGGTGGATTTTGTATTCTGTTTTGTTGAATGAGTAAGTGTCTTGTGATGCTTTGAGGATTTTCTTCTTCCTGGTTGAGAATATTCTCTCATTATGGCAGTCTTCCCCCAATACACACACATATACCCGTATACACATACACACTCACAAACACACATATTTGAAATGTTTGCTAAACCAACTTAAATACTCGCTTTCTAATATATTTTCCTGAATGTTTCTAGCCCATATTCATCACTGTTATTAAAATTTTAATTTATAATTATTAGTACATCATCTTTCCCTCCACACCCCACTACAGACACACACACACACACACACACACACACACACTCTCACATACACACTTATACAGTCAATTCAGAAGTTTATATATTAAGGCTGGATGTGATGGCTCATGCCTGTAATCCCAGCACTTTGGTAGACCAAGGTTGGGGGATCACTTGAGGCCAGGATTTCCAGACCAGCCTGGGCAGCATTTCAAGATACTATCTCTACAAAAAAACTTAAAAATTAGCCAGGTGTAGTGGCTTGTGCCTGTAGTTGTAGCTACTCAGGAGGCTGAGGCAAGAGACTAGCTTGAGTCCAGGAGTTCCAAGCTCTAGTGAGCTCTGATAATGTCACTGCATTCCAGCCTGAGCAACAGAGGAAGATACTGTCTCAAAAGCAAAAAAAGAAGTTTATGTAATATATTAGATTTTGTTCTCTAATTGTTTCATCTATATACTTCTTGTTCTCTGATGAGCTTAAGCTTCTTGAAGTCAGGAATTAAGTCTCATATGCATTCTCACCTTCCTAGTGCACTTTGCCAAGGTGGCACTGTAGGCTTTATTAACTTTATACCATCAACAAAAAGAATTAACCTTCCATCACATTTGCAAATATTCTCAGCAAATATTCTCTCTACATGGACACATTTGCGCAGTATCCACGTATACCTGTGCAAGCACAGGCACATGCACACACACACACACACACACACACACTCCTCTCTCTCTCACACTCTATCTCACTCTTTCATATATACACACTTTCACACACTCACATCCTTTCACCACTCTCATGCACCACTCTGTTCTTCAGATTCTGCTTGCAGAGCTTTAGCCTACAGGCAGTGCCAAAAAATATATAACCACATATATCCCCTCTAAACTCCTCTGTCATATTATTATAAAACTGCTTCATTAGCCTCTAAAATCAGATATTTTTAATGTATTTTAACACATTCCTGGTGAGGTTAGTAGACTGCTACTTTACCAATGGAACTTTGGAGAGTGAGGAGTTCAGAGACTTAATCAGGACATTGCAGGATGGTCCACAAAGGCTGCTCCACACAGTTCACACCATTGTACTACATGTTTATGATTATTTATATATTGTAAAGTTTCTGATATTTTTGAACATCCTCATTCTTTTTAGTATTTTAAAATCCAACATTTATCTATAAAATATTATTTTGGACACATTATAATAGTAAATTTGACTACATTTTGAAAACTATAAAGTAATGCACAAATGTACAGTATTATGTTTCTAAGGAAGTTTGGCATCCATAACAAAGTCTGTACATCAGAACTGATCAAAATAGAACCTGTTTAATATTATTGTTCTTTTTGGATGATATATATGTAGATAAAATTGATAGAAACTATCTGTAAAGTGATAGGTGATATGCTGACAATAAATCATTAGGTAAAATGTTCTTGCCTCCTACAGAAAGCTGAAATATTATAGCTATAAATTATAGATAACATATAATACACAAACTAATAATCATCTACATTTATACAAAATAATTACTTGCTGAGAATTTTGTTTTGGATTGTTTTCATTAGTGAATTAAGAATTTAAAAAAAAAAAACTCCCCCGTTCCATTCAGGGCATGGATTTTTTTACATCCTAAACAGCAAAAATATGTAGTTTTCAACTAATTGAAACAAATAAAATGGAATATCATTTATTCAGAGACCCCTGAATTGATTCTGGGTGGCCAGTGCTGTATCTCTGTATTTTATATCTTGTTATTCACATACCATTGTTTCTATTACCAGAACTTCTTTATCTTAAAAAGAGAAAAAGTCTGATAGTTTAAAGAGAGAATTAACATGACAAAATTCAAAATGCTATTTTGTAAACCCCATCTTAATTGAGGTAGTTTAAGGTGTCTTACTCGCTAGCCTAGAGTCACATGAGTGGAGAGGAAGGGTCATGTCTTTGTCATAGGTATCCTGATCATGTTTCCCTGAAGTTGCTCAACCCCAGAAAACAGCTGTAGAAGACTGAAAGAGCTTGTAAACAGATGGGGTTTTCAAAATGGCTGAGGAAACAGAACATCTGACAAAGGTTTCACTGCATTGAAAGCATCTCAGGTTATTTGAAACACTACTTAACTTACCAAGATATGATTTACAAGAATATACTCATTTCATAAAAGCACATGCATCCTCCGTATGTGTCCACTCTTACAGCTGCTCAAATCTTTGTGCTAATCTAAGGTTTACTTACTCTAACCACTGCTCTAACCTGAATCCAAGTATAGAATGGAGACTGCCCTCTTCGTCCCCTTTATTCAACTACACAACTGATGTCATTTGTTGCTTTATTCAAACCATGCAACACTTTTACTGAAAAGAGGTAAAATGCTGGGAATGCAGCTTACAAGGCTGAACAACCGGTAACTCTGCCAGTGCACTTTGCAAAGTCTGAAGGATATGCAGGCATGCTCAAGTACTGCAAAGATCCATATTAAACTGTGGCTTGAAATAGGAGGATGCTGCAAGTGCTGTTTCACTATACCTGAATGATCTGTTTCTTATTCTTACAACAGTCCACCTTGGAAGTATGGGTGACATTGCTTTCTTTTGTTTTGTTCTTTTTACTTTTTCTAATACTGCTTCCACCATTTAAAATCTCAGTTTTGTCTTGTTTCCGCTCTCTGAGTTTAGATTCAATTGTGCCTTGTGTCTAAAATTCTTAAGTTTTCTTCCACACTTGTGGCCAAGGTCAGCACAGTCCATTCACCTATCTTCTTCTTGAGTTCTCCCAGTACATAAAGTACTGGGAGAACATGTCAATTACGTGACAACTATTGACAATAATAACGACCATTGATAACTCTGCAGTGTTATTAAGCTAAGAAGCTCCCTCCCTACAGTGGGTGAAGACAGGAAAGAAGGAGGAGGTTAAGTAGATAGAGACACCTGTCTTGCCACATTCTTTTCCAACTGAAAATTCTTCAGTTGTTCCAAAGTGGAAGGTCACCCTCTTCTAAATAAGTGAGTGGGGCTCTGGCCTTGCTTCACAGACACCGAACCAGTATCTCCTTGGACAAAGATAGTTAGTTTTTGAATAATCACCATATGGATGACTTTTACCAAAACTTCTTCAGGAGCTGTCTCTGGTTCATCAGAAGTCAACCTTTTTAACACAGTACATTTCCCACATTTCTGTCTTAGATGGAACAAGGCCCTGCAGACTTGATATCTGTGACTTTGAGATTATGGTTTGGGGAGAGAAGTTGTCTCCTGGAGAGGCAATGAGAGGTGTCCCCTTTCCCAAGTCTGAAGTGTCATCAAGTTTGTACCTTAAGGATGCCACTTCTTTTTTTCCCCTTTTTATCTCAAAACATCTTCTCTGTGAAGGTGAAGATAGGATTCCTTTCTGGTGCTACATAAATAGAAGTAACTAAACTGTAGATTTCACTGTGATTATTCTAGGTTGGCATGAATTTTCTCCCCTTTATAACAGTTTTCCATGATGAATTGCATATTTTTAATGGTCACAGATTTGGCTTTGAGATTGTAGTTATGGCAATAACCATAACAGACACACTGAAATATCTAGGGAGCACTTTTGACATTCCCTCAGTTTTATTGATTTCTTATTTCCAAATCTCACATGAGATCTGACTGAAACTCAGGACACCTTACCCAGCTGTCACAATGTTCATTCTGGCACCCAGTACTATAATGATTTGCCAGAGCTGCTAGCCACAGAGGGTCTGGAGGTTTGCTTCTCAGTTTAGTTGTTTCAGAGTCAGGCCTTCCTAATCTGCCCCTTTGTCACTAACCCCAAGACACAGATCAATTGGCAGTGGAGTTTCTTCTAAACATCAAGACAGAGATTGTAAAACTAATGGTCTGCTCTAAATGGATTTTTACAGGCTCTCCTGCCTCTTTTACCCTGACCACATACACCCAGCAGATTTAGTAAAGTTGCATTAGCTCTCCTGGATTGAAGAGAGAAGGTTCTCTTGAGAATAATAGACATAATTCTATCTCTTGATTCCTGCCAATTAGATTTCTTTCCAAAGGCATAGTTCTCCAAATTTCTCCCTTGGTCAGAATGGATCTATAAGCCAAGAAGAAATTTTCACCCCTACAACCACACCACACATAGCAATTTGGAATTTGTGTATGTTTAAGGAAAGAATCACCAATCTGGTGGCAGATTCTGGTACTATCGTTAATGTCTGTGGAATTCACAAAACTATGCTTTTTGGTCAGTGGACTGGGTTCCTTAAATCAAGGTTGCTGATGGAACGGTCTCCCTAGAACACTAACTAAATGGTTCTAATTCAACCCAGAAAATGCTGTTCTCCTCTAGATTCTGAACTCATGAAGAAAAACCACTTGCCTTCTAATCCATAGCCTCCCCTTCTGTGGGCTCCACAGAAATCCCCAATTAAAGCAGCTTACATTCTGCTGCCACTTCTTCACATTTAGAAACATGTTGGCTGTGGAGTAGAGGAGGCTGCACCACGAGTCTCTCAGCATTTACCTCACCACATGTGTTAGCACAAAGTGCTGTGGGGAGGGTGGAGGATCCCTCCAGCATAGCAGTGACCACAGTAGTGAAACAACACACAGTAGAGGTTGAACCCAGTTAATGTCACCACTGTGATCAAACCCACCATGCAGCTCAGCACAGGGAAAGTATCCACTAACTCACCCCACAGAGACTCCAGCCTCAACACAACATACCTCAGGCAAGTAACATTGCATATTTAGACTGCAAATATCTATAATCCTTTCAGACTCTGAGAGGGAACTGGAGTCAGGTAGAGCTCCTAGATAAAACAATTGAAAACTAAGTATTATTTGAGATGCACATACAGCCTTACTTTGCATATATGGTAGGCAAAATTCTAAGATGGCACCAACATTATCACCTTTTGGTGTAGAGGTCCTGTATAACTCCCTTCTCTTGAGTGTGGGTGAGACCTTTGAATCTGGTGTGATATCACTCCAGTGAAAAGGTGAAAAGATTTTGTAGAAGTAATTAAGGTCCCAAGTTAGTTAATACTGAGTTAATTCAAAAGGAGATTATCCTTTTGTAGAAGTAATTAAGGTCCTGAGTTAGTTAATACTGAGTTAATTCAAAAGGAGATTATCCTGAGTCGGCTAGACTTAATCAGGTGAGAGTCCCTAGAAGAGGGACTGGACCCATCCTGAAGAAAGAGATGCTTTCCTGCTGCTCTTGAAGAAGCAAATAGCCATGTTAGAAACTGCCTATGGAGACAAGTGGCCTCTGGGAGCTGATAGCCTTCATCCTTCAGCCCAAAGGAACTAAAAAGTGGTAAAATGCTGGGAATCTTAATTCTCTCAACAATCTTTATAATTTTGGAAGATGACCCTGAGCTCCAGATGAGAATTCACTCCAGCCAACACCTTGATTGTAGACTTGTGAGACCCTGAGCCGAGAACCCAACTAGGCAATGCCTGTGACAGAATAAATTGTGAGATAATAAATGTGTGTGGTTCTTAGCAGCTAAACTTGTGGTAATTTGTTAAGCAGCAATAGGAAAATAACTCAGCATACTTCTTTTCAATTGTTATGGACACATTTTCTTGGTATCCCACTAGTCCCTATAAGAAACCCTGACTGGAATTCTGTAGTCCATGTTGGAAGTCTTGGAGCTTGGGTTGCTGGTGTGGATTTAAACCATTTACATCTTGTTTCCCTCTGATCAGTCCTGAAGTCCCCATAGTTTCCCAGCCATCTCCACTAATCCCGATTTCTCCCCTCACATTAGGGAGGAATTATCGAAGAATCTCCTAATTTTCTAGTATGTATCCTATTGTCTACAATGGGAAACAGAAGGTGAACGATGCTCAATGCAGAGAAGAGAAGAGAGGAAAAGGTAGAAGATAACCCAACTCTCTTTATCGTCATCAAGGAAAGGATGATAAGTTCCCAATCGCAACCATTTTTGAAAAAGTGGGCAGTATCTAGCCTCTGTACAGTTACTGCTAGCTTATTTATTTAGAAATCTGAACCAAGATACCATCCTGTTTCTTTCTGATTCTTGATCATCTTATTTTTCTTTTCTTTTTTTTTTTTAACTTTTAAGTTCAGGGGTACAAGTGCAGGTTTTTATATAGGTAAACTCCTGTCATGGGGGTTAGTTGTACAGATTATTTTATCACTCAGGTATTAAGCCTAGTAGCTATTAGTTATTTTTTCCTGATCCCTTCCCTCCTCCCACTCTCCACTCTCCAATAGGCTCCAGTGTATGTTGTTTCTTTCTTGGTGTCCATGAGTTATCATCATTCAGCTCCTACTTATAAGTGAGAACATGAACATGTGACATTTGGTTTTTATCTTCCTGCATTAGTTAGCTAAGGATGATGGCCTCCAGCTTCATCTATTTCCCAACAAAGGACATGATTTCATTCTTTTCTATGGCTGCATAGTATTCCATGGTGTATGTGTACCACATTTTCTTTATCCAGTCTATTCAATTAGAATTTGTTGTAATAGCGAAAATAGTGCCTCTCAAGCTTTCTAAGGCTGGCTAGAGCTGAGTGAGCCTGGACCTTTATGAGCAACTGCCATGAGCTCTCGTTCCTGGCAGATACCAAAACTCATTTTGGTATTTGTTGATTTGTTTAATCTCAACTACCATACTATACAAAAGTTTTTTTTAGCCTTACAGTACAGTTGGAAATAATTTTATCTTGTATCTGCCTGGATATCAAGATATTGGGAGATGCTTCCTCAATGATTTCTACAATTGAATCTATTCTAGCAATCAACGGCCTGTCTGGTCTAGGAGGTGCCTTCTTTTAAGTGTATATTGAAATGTCACACTGAGGTGAAATCTTTTATAGTTCTCAATGCTTGCTTGCGCCTAAGTCATTGAAGCATTCTATTCTTGTAACATTACCCTAGTTTGTTCAATTCATAGTTTATATTATTCTTTTCTTGGCACCTGCTCCGCCCTGTCCTCCAAACTGTACACTTTGAGAATCACCAAGTATCCTTTATTCTATTGCTTTTTCAAGAGCCAGATCTCTTGTTGACTGGGATTCATCTACCAGTGCTACCACTTTGTTCCTGGATCTTTTGTCTTTCTTTGGAAACAATCTACAGTTCTTTAAAAATTCCCCAACGGATATTTATCACTGCTTAGGTTTTTTTCTCCTCATCGATTCTGTACAAAATTCATCAGAATATTTTGAATAAACAATCATAATATAAACATCATTCCATTTTTAAAGTTTTCTTCCCCCAGGAACTCTTCTGTGATCACATTTGTCTCCATATCATTCCTTTCCCAATAATTAAATATTGCTAATACCATATACACTTGTACTAGATCTTGTCTCCCTCCATGGCCCATTCTGCTAATACTAAAGGTGACACAGTGGCATACTACTAGTTTATTTCTGTAGTGTGCTTTGTTGGGAGAATGATTAACATTCCAACTGTCCAAAATTCAATAATATTGAAACTTAGCCTTCACATAGGTAAGTGTGTCATCCCATCCTGCCATATCTGAAAGGGATACGAGATCAACCTAGTATGAAAATACAGGGAAAACAGTTGTATTCATTGCCAAGTGCTCTAAAAGTTAAAAGGATGCTGCAATATATCTCATTCCATTCGTTCCTTTCAACTGGACATTCCACTTTGCATAAACATCCTGAATTCCCTATGTGCCCCATTGCTTTCCTGTCTTTCTCTTCTCTGCTTCCAACCCCCATCAACTCCCAGGCTCTCAGCTACCTCTTACTGTTATCCCAGGGGCTCAAGTCAGCAATTCCTTTTTATCCTATCTGGCCAACACAAATGTATCTTTTCATGCCAGTTCATAGGGAATCAACTCTACAAACCTCTCTTGTCCATTATAGCATATCTTTAAAATGCAATGTAATATCTATATATATTGCATTTAATATATATTTTATATATTGCATTTTATATATATGTAATGTTCCACAAAATGTTATATAAATGACATTTACCCACAAAGGTAAGAATAAGAGGAATGAAGAGATTAAAATAGATAACTCTAAGTTTCTCTCCAATGTCAGGGACTAGGCCTTTTACATCTTCATGCCCGGTCACTGGCACATACTGAACTTTCATATACTTTTCTGCAGCATGATTGATTTTAAGTTGGTGCCTGACCGAATTACTTATGGTAATGTGAGGATCGCTGGATTTGAAAACATACAGCTAGATTTGCAATTGTTCCATTTTATAGTCAGACTTGTTCATTCTTTCATATTAACTCTATGCCAATGTCATTCCTACATTGCCTGCACAATGCTACGGCTACCTGTTGAAAAGCAAATCAATCATCTGACTGTTTGATGTCAAACAATTGGGAGTATATAAAATTGTAGAAAGTAGCAGTTGCAAGGAGGCAAATGGCATATTCTAATCCTGGTTTTGCAATCTCCTCATGATGTAACATTGGCAAATCAGTCTCTCTGGGTGTAGTTTTCTTATCTATAAACGACATTTGTTAACATACTTTCATAACCTTTTTTTGACATTTTTCCTATTGAATTCATAAGTTACTCTGGCTCAGGTTAAGTTTTCCAAGTGATATTTGCTAATATTTTATGGCAATATGTGTTACGTAATTCTTTAAATATACAAGGAATTCAGCATTTTGCCAAAATATTTTATATACTCACATTTTATATTTCATGTAAAATTCAAGGGATCATGTGTTGTTCTCCATTTGAACAGATGCAATATCTTCTTGACAGAATTTATATTTTCACTACACAGTAGCAACAAAATAAAACAAGGAAACTCTTCAAACAAAAGTGAAGTGGATGGAAATTATGGTCACTTTATAACAGCTACATTGACCGCTTCCATCTTCCTTTTTTCTCCATGCTCTTTTTGTATGCTGCCAGATTGTCTCCTAGCTGGAGGTGACAGACAGCCCCAGCCCAGACTGCATCTACAGACAACCCATCTGGGAATTGTCTGTGCGAGTTTCAAAGATGTTCCCTGTGGCAAAAACCACTTTATAAGTCTCTTTTCAAACTTTAGGTTCTGTTTAAATGTGTTTTAACAGTTATAGTATGGTGTCTGACTGGATAGACACTTCTGCAGTTGCTGGCTGGACAGTGCCTACAGTTCATTGCTTAAGAGCTGTGTCTTGTGTCAAGGCCCCGGGAGTGGAAACAGGCTTGGACTAACTACATTTCCTGTCTTACCCCTTCCATGAAGACTCTTTTGCTCATTTTTATTTTCTAAAGTATACATAGGACAAGGGGAGTTTTAGAGTTATAAACATCTCACCAGTGTTGCTTATATTTTATATCTTCAGTCCTATAAATATACATATATAAATATTCTAATGAAGAAAAAATACCATTTTCAAATTCTTCTTTAAATTTGTGGAAAATATTTGTTAATGTATTCAGCTTTTAATTATCCTCGCAATTTTAAAACATGTCATGTATCTAAAGATGTAAACTGATTTCTAAGGAGCCTAAGTGTACAGACAGTCTTTGCAGGTTATTTCTAATCTCCCTGACTTCTCAACATTGGAATGCCCCAGGGCTCAGTCCTCAGACATTTTCTTTCCTATCTGCATTCATTTTCTTAGTGACCTCATCAAATCTCATCTCTTTAAATATCATCCATATGCTGACAAGTTGCTAATTTATAACCCTAGCCTAGAACTTTCTCCTCAACTGGTATGTCCAACTGCCTATGTGACATCTCCATTTCAAGGTCAAAAGAAATCCTGCCGGGTGCAGTAGCTCACGCCTGTAATCCCCGCACTTTAGGAGGCCAAGGCGGGTGGATCACTTGAGGTCAGGAGTTCAAGACCAGCCTGGCCAACATGGTGAAACCCCATCCTTACTAACAACACAAAAATTAGCTGAGTGTGGTGGTGTGTGCCTGTAGTCCCAGCTATTTGGGAGTCTGAGGCACAAGACTCTCTTGAATCTGGGAGGCAGAGATTATAGTGAGCAGAGATCCCACCACTGCACTCCAGTGTGGGCAACAGAGTGAGTCTCAAAAAAAAAAAAAAAAAAAAAAAGAAATCTCAAACTTACTACTTTCAAGACAGCCCCAATGCCCCAATAGGTTCTGCTTTTACACCAGGTGTCTTCATTTCCATAAATGGCAGTTCCGTTTCTCCAGTTGCTCAAGTTAATACCTTGGAGCCATTCTTGAATTTCTTCTTTCTCTTATATCTTGCAAATGCTCAGAAAATTCTGGCTGTATTTTAAAACCATAACCACAATTCCCATCACTTGCTTCACCTCGGTTGCTACAGTCTTGATTCAGCTCACCATTAGCTCCTGCCTGGATGACCACTGTAGCCTGGGGCCTGGTCTCTCTGTTTCTACCCTTGCCTCCCTGGATTCTCTTCATCAGGGCAGCAGCCAAGATGATCATTTTATTCCTCTTCTCAAATCCCTCCTATGACTTCCTATCTTACTCAGGTTATAAAATACATACATTTACAATTCCCTCTATGATCCCATATCCCACATATGCTTCCTTTCTCTTCCTGTTCTCTGACTTCGTCTTCTACTACTGCCTGTCCCCCTTGACTACTGAACATCTTTGGCTGGAGCTCCCCATATGGGGACCCTCAGAGCATTTACATCTGCAATTCTCTTGACCCAAATGGCTGCTTGTTACTCCAGATATCAGCATGATGCCCTCACTTCCTTTAGGTCCTCATTCAAGTGAAAACTTCTCTGGCCACCTCATCTAAAATTGCAAGCTCTCTAGCAACACAGGCATATGCACACACATTTCTATCACCATTGCCTCTTTTGTTTTCTTCTTAATAAATGCCACAGTTACTTATTTTTATTTTTTTGTCTGACTCCTCCACTTGGCGCTAAAGGTCAATAAGCTATAGCCCATAGACAAAATCTAGCTCCCCATTCATTTTTGTGAGTAAAGTTTTATTGGAACACAGCTGCACACGTTTGTTCATGTGTTATGATCATTTTCATATGGCTCCAAAAGCCTAAAATATGTATTTACTATCTAGCCTTTTGCAGCAAAACTTGCCAACCTCTGTGAATATAAGCTTCAGAAGGACAGGTGTTTTTGTTTATTTTATTCTCTTCTTTGTCACTAGAACCACAGAGTCATGACTGGCACATATTAAGTATCCAATAAGAATGTGTTGTCTGATGAATAAATGAAGTGTTGCTGGCTTTGTGATTTAAGGATCTTGATAAGAAAACAAAGTGGAATTGAAATTTTACATGGCTAGGGATCTACAATAAACATTGGAAGGGTTTTGATGATGTTCCTTAGTGTTGTTTTTCAACTGAAAAAAAAACAAGACATTTTTTGAATATCATTCATTCTAAGTAAAAATGGTCATCTCCTAGTGTTGACTTTAAATACAGTGTAAAACAACTGGTAGAGGTATTGTTATTACACCAATTATATTGTTACAGAACCACTGCTGTAATAGGGCCATTAAATAAGCCCTCTGAGAGCAGTTATGCAGGACTAAAATTGCTTTAAGGTGCCAATTGAAATCACCTGTGTGACCTTTTCAGGCCTGTTTGCATCTTGTTATCCACCAAGTGAGAGATAAGAGCTAATCCATTTCGAATGCACGATTGTAGTGGGCATTGGTCATTTAGGTCCAGCAGAAAATGTGGAGTCCACTCTGACTTTACACTTTTAGTCAACAATATAGCCTATTGCTCCCAATGAAAAGACAAGATAGAAAGTATTTTGTTTGATCTCTGGTGGCAGTAGAGATTTCAGTAGTGAAACCAAAACCAATGACTTCTCCCTTTTCTGTGTAGCCATTCATAGAAGCTCTGGCACCTAAGAACTTTGTCTTTAGGGGGACAGGTTGAGACTCTTTCAGAAAGAAATGTTCCCCTCTTTTTATGTGAGACTTCAATACTCCATTCAAAAAAACAAGGGTTTCAGGGTTAGACCGATTGATGGTAAAGATGACAAAACCTTGAGAAGTCTCTTAGCTTGAGCTGAAAAATGTGTGTGGCTAACTGCCTTAAACATTTTAAAATGTAACTCTCTAACTGTAGTAAGGGCTGTCGAGCTAAGATTTGGGGTTAATTGTTCACTGTTCAACATGGTTTGTGAATAATTGCAGAACTGTAGCAATTAAATTGTGCTTTCTACAAAACAGGCAGCACATGCCTCCTGCTTTAGATAGACCTGCGGTTTTGCAGATTGGCAAACCTCTGTAATCTATTTGGATGTACAGGTGACATCTCTCTTTGAGTCTTCAGGACCCTGGGACCTCTGGGATGTTTGCTATATCATAAACTTGAATGATGAAAAAGCAGCAGGACTACTTCAGCCTCTAATTAGAACCACTCAATGCAGCAAAGAAACTGAGCAACTGTTTATTATTCCATTTAATGTTTTTTTCTACATTCACAAATCATTTATCAGTATCATCTGAAAATGAAAAATGATAAGTGCAGTGATACTTGGCACAATACATCCGGTTTGTTACCCAAGAGTTGGTATTTAGGTACAGAAGTGTTAACGATGAAGTCATACCCTGGAGAGGATGCAAAAGAGAACTTATTCTTCAGTTCTGGCTGAATTCCCAGGTTTGGGCCAATGTGAATCTACCGGAATTAGTGATAATGTTTTCTGTCATGGTTGTAAAATACTTTCAGAGAAACATAAAGTTTTTATGAGAAGAATAGTAAAAGAAATGAGTTCTTCTATGCCTGGGGGGTTAATATTTGTTCTTGTTGGCTCATTTGAGGATAGCAGAGGTTGAGATGGGGAGATAAAGGCACAAAGCCTTGAGTTCCCTCTTGCCACTGCTCATTATAAATAGTAGCTTCTAGATAGCTCAATTGCTTAAAATGTGAAGGTCCTAACAAATCCCTAAGTCACTAAGTTAAAACATCTGTACTTGCTGGTTTTATCTATGTCTGAGGCCCCATTACAGTTTTCTCTTTCTCCCCTTCTTTATTCTTTTTTCTTTAGGATGATAGAATTTTTCCTGTGATAGGTTTCCAGGTTTCAAGTGTTATTTATTTACAATAGCTTAATGGAGAATGTCAGTAAGGTTTAGAGACCTTTCCAAAGAATGGGAATGTTAGGATGCTCAAACCACATGCTGTCAAAAACTATTTTAAGTACTCTGTTTCATCAAGTAAATGCAGTTAGTTAAATTGAATTTAGAGAATTTTCCCCTCTTTGTGATGAACAGAGAATGATTATCATACCTGTGATACTCCTGACTTCCTTTTTGTATAAGTAGTGTAGTTGTACTGATCTTGAAGTTTATTAGCGCTTTAAGCTGTCAGGTTATTACTGTCAGTTTCAAGAAAAGAAAGAGTTACTGATGTAAAATTAATTTATTGAATGGAATTGTTTTGCCCTCAGGGAATAACATCACCATTTAATTTAATTTCCCCATCATATTGTCTCATTTGTAGAGGAAAAAAATAACTTTTCTTTTAAAGAGAATAAAGTGCATTATGCTGAATGGTGTACTTCATCCTTACAGGTTTTGCTTGTTCTAGATCGTCAGTTGTCATAACAACATGATACATTGTGCAATAATACTTGCTTGCTGAATTTGGGAAGCTAGCACTGATTTAGATATTTACTTATAAGAAAATGTTGTGAGGACTTAAAAATATGTATAAAATTTTTCTTATGGTTACATTTTTCAATATCACACAAATTCATTATGGACCATCTGATACCAAAACTATATTTTAAATATTGTTATTAAAAGCCTTGAAATCACATATATCCTGGTTGCTGGTGGTGTCCTCAGTGTTTGCCCAAAGATACAACTATCTTCTGTTCCACTGGGGTTCAGAACACAGGTGTGCTTAAGCCTAGTAGGTGGTATTAGAAAGTCAAATCCACAAACACCAAACAAAATGCCTGGCATTCAATTCACGTTTCAAAGAGAAGCCTACAGAAGTGCTGAGGGCAAAGGTGGGGTCTTGGGGAAAACGACTGTCTTAACTAAAGAAACACAAAGACTCCTTTTGAGCTCTGTTTCAAGAATAAATTTACCTTTACCCAGACGTTAAGTATTACACTAGAAATTTCTCTTGTATATATAGGTCTACAAAAATATACAAGCCTTGTAGTTACAATGTTAAATTCTCAAGAACTCAATCCCTCTCATTATGTGTATTTTATTTAAGCAGCATAGTTTCAAAATCTTTCCCCTTCCTCCTCAAAATGAACCATAATGGAAAATCAATCTTCATTCAGCAAACACTTATTAAGCACTTATTATGTGAGATGCATAATACTTAACACTACAGGCTGTAAAAAGGTGAAGAGTCATGATTTCTAGCCTCTTGGAGCTTGCGATCATATTAATAAGGAGAACAATAAAATTACACCAAGAACATTGCTACAGAATAAAGCAGATATCTTGGTTGTATATGCACAGGTACAGTTGTAGTCATTGCTAAAACATTGCATACTTCTATACAGATTGGTAAACATTACTAAATGCTGACCGAAACCCCACAAGTGGCCCCCGGTCCCAAGCCACCTATACAAGGACTTTCATTTTCCCAATTCTTCTTTGGGCAATTGAAATATTAAAAACCTACATAGCAGAGGACCATTAAGGACCCCACCCCAGTGAAGAAACTCTTTCTGATTCATGAGATCTCAAACAAGAAATTTTTATTGCCTTATGTATATTTTACTGGCAGTCTTGAAATTTTAAAATAAACAACATTCCTAAAAATTACCAAAAAAGCATATTAAAAATTAAGACTATCAGCTTTTCCAATATCAAAGCTTATTTTTGTTTTTTTCAATCTCTTCTATTTTAAAATTTATTCTCTAGAACCCCAATTATGTGTATATATAGGCCCTTCTGTTCCATAACTATATATATATATATATATATCTTTTAACTCTTTTTTTGGTTTGGATTAGAGGAACACAGAATTGGAATTTGCATGATCATCATGATCCTTACATGTCTGCTTTTATTATTTATTAATTGATTTGGTTATTTTCCACAATAGAATTAACACAGTGAATCACCCCCTACCTCAAAAGAAAAGAGTTAGAACTTACATCTAACTTTGTGGTTTCTGTCACACCAAGCCTTTCTCTTCATGTGCAGAAAATGTTATTTTAAATCTTATGTTGATTATTCACTTTCATTTTTAATGGGTTTCATATACTTCTAAATATGCCTAAATAAGAATTTTTAAATAAGAAAACAGATGTGGCTACAAGTTTCATTTCCAGAGCATTAACCTCATCATGATTTCTATTTTTTATTTGCCATCCACTTAATTTTTATTTATTTTTATGTATTTATTTATATATTTATTTAATTTTAATAGTTTTTTTGAGAGAACAGGTGGTGTTTGGTTACATAACTAAGTCCTTTAGTGGTGATTTCTGAGATTTTGGTGCACCAATCACCTGATCAGCGTACTCTGTACCTAGTGTGTAGTCTTTTATCCCTCACCCACTCCCATCCTTTTCCCTGGAGTCCCCAAAGTCCATCATATCATTCTTATGCCTTTGTATCCTCATAGCTTAGCTCCCACTTATGAGTGAGGACATAGGATATTTGATGTTCTATTCCTGAGTAACTTCACTTAGAATAATCGTCTCCAGTTCCATTCAGGTTGCTGCAAATGGCATTATTTCATTCCTTTTTATGGCTGAGTAGTATTCCATTGTGTGTGTATATATATATATATATGTGTGTGTGTGTGTGTGTGTGTGTGTGTGTGTATGTGTGTGTGTATATATATGTGTGTGTGTGTATGTGTGTGTATATATATATATATATATACCACATTTTCTTTATCCACTCATTGATTGATGGGCATTTGGGCTGGTTCCATATTTTTGCAATTTCAAACTGTGCTGCTATGAACATGCATGTGCAAGTATCTTTGTCATACAATGACTTATTTTCCTCTGGTAGATACCCAGGAGCGGGACTGCTGGATCAAATGATAGATCTACTTTTAGTTCTTTACAGAATTTCTACACTGTTTTCCATAGTGGTTGTACAAGTTTACATTCCCACCAACAGTGTAAAAGTGTTCCCTTTTCACCACATCCATGCCAACATCTATTATTTTGATTATGGCCATTCTTACATGAGTAAAGTGGTATTGCATTGTGGTTTTGATTCGCATTTCATTAATGATGTTGAGCATTTTTTCCTATGTTTGTTGGCCATTTGTATATCTTCTTTTGAGAACTGCCTATTCGTTTCCTTAGCCCACTTTTTGATGGGTTTGTTTTTTTCTTGCTGATTTGTCTGCGTTCCTTGTAGATTCTGGATATTAGTCCTTTGTCAGATGTATAGATTGTAAAGATTTTCTCCCACTCTTTGGGTTGTCTGTTTACTCTGCTGATTATTTCTTTTGCTGTACAGAAGCTTTTTAGTTTAATTAAGTGTCATCTATCTTTGTTTTTGTTGTGTTTGCTTTTGGGTTCTTGGTCATGAAGTCTTTGCCTAAGCCAATGCCTAGAAGGGTTTTTCCAAAGTTATCTTCTAGAATTTTTATAATTTCAGGTCTTAGATTTAAGTCTTTGATCCATCTTGAGTTGATTTTTGTATAAGGTTACAGACGAGGGTCCAGTTTCCTTCTGCTACATGTGGCTTGCCAATTATCCCAGCACCATTTGTTGAATAGGGTGTCCTTTCCCCACTTTATGTTTTTGTTTGCTTTGTCAAAGATTAGTTGACTGTAAGTATTTGGCTTTATTTCTGGGTTCTCTATTCTATTCCATTGGTCTATATGTCTGTTTTTATACCCGTACCATGTTGTTTTGGTCACTATGGCCTTATAGTATAGTTTGATGTTGGGTAATGTGATGCCTCCAGATTTATTCTTTTTGCTTATTCTTGCTTTGGCTATGTGGGCTGTTTTTTGGTTCCATATGAATTTTAGGATTTTTTTTTCTAGTTCCGTGAAGAATGATGATGATATTTTGATGGGAATTGCATTGAATTTGTAGATTGCTTGTGGCAGTATGGTCATTTTCACAATATTGATTCTACCTATCCAGGAGCATGGGATGTGTTTCAATTTGTGTCATCCATTATTTCTTTCAGCGGTGTTTTGAAGTTTTCCTTGTAGAGGTCTTTCACCTCCTTCGTTATATATATTCCTAAGTATTTTTTTTTCTTTTTTTTTTTTGCAGCTATTGTAAAGGGAGTTGATTTCTTGATTTGATTCTCAGCTTGGTCACTGTTGGTGTATAGCAGGGCTACTGATTTGTGTATATTAATGTTGTATCCTGAAACTTTGCTGAATTCATTTACCAGTTCTAGAAGCTTTTTGGATGAGGCTTTAGGGTTTTCTAAGTATACAATCATGTTATCAGCAAACAGTGACAGTCTGACTTCCTCTTTACTGATTCGGGTGCCCTTTATTTCTTTCTCTTGTCCAATTGCTCTGGCTAGGACTTTCAGTACTATATTGAATAGAAGTGGTAAAAGTGGGCGTCCTTGTCTTGTTCCAGTTCTTAGTTCCATTTCTCAGGGGGAATGCTTTCAACTTCTTCCTGTTCAGTATAAAGTTGTCTGTGGGTTTATCTTAGATGGCTTTTATTACCTTAAGTCATGTCCCTTCTATGTGGATTTTGCTGAGGGTTTTAATCGTAAAGGGATGCGGGATTTTGTCAAATGTTTTTCTCCATCTATTGAGATGATCATGTGATTTTTTTGTTTTTAATTCTGTTATGTGGTATATCACATTTATTGACTCATGAATGTTAAACCATCCCTGCATCCCTGGTACAAACCCACTTGGTGATGGTAGATTATCTTTTTGATATGCTGTTGCATTCAGTTAGCTAATATTTTGTTGAGGATTTTGGCACCTATATTCATCAGGGATATTGGTCTGCAGTTTTCTTGAAGCTCCTTTTCTAAGTTCATAATTATTCTTCACAGTCATTTGTGCTGCTATTTTTTTCAATTCACGATTTAAAAAGTAAAATGCAAATTAAAAAGAATGGTTCCTTGGAAAGTAAAAAAATAAACATTTTAAATATTGTCTCTGGTAAAAAGTATTCTTAGAGATTTCAAAAGTTGGACTATGTGAAACTGCCATTTTTGTAGTTCAAAAGCAGTAACGTATCAGCAATTTCATATGTTTCACTTAATGCAAACCAGGTATTACAGAGATTCACAGGAGGGACTGATTACATCCTATTGTGTGAGAAGACATCTTGATTCTCTAACTTGGTGGCCTTCAAACTTCAGCATGCATCAGCAAGCCCGAAAGGCTTGTTAAGACACAGCTGCATTGGGGATGGAATGGGTCCTGAGAATTTCCATTTCTAATAAAGTTCCCAACTGTCCCTGCAGCTAGTCCTGGAATCACTCTTTGAGAACACAGGGAGTCTAGCTGCTTGATTTTTTCCTTGCAGAAAGTGTTACTGCTTTTATTATATGGCTCTTATAAGTCAATAAGGAAAAGAGGAATCTCTCAATTTAAAAAATTGCAACGATGCTAAACCAGAAAATCATAAAAGAAAAATACAAATGTACATTTAATATAAAAAGTCAAAATCATTAGTTATCAAAGACATGTAAATTGAAGAAACAAACCCCTTTTGAATACTCAATAGTCAAGATTAGAAACTATTAGTAGTATTCAATGTTAAAAAAGGTAGAAACAAATGGATGCTCTCATACATTGCTAGTGGAATGATAAATTGCTAAAATCTTTCTGAAAGACAATTTGGCAACATATGTCAAGCACAATACTTATGCTTTTTGCTCAGATAGTTCTACTTCTAGAAATTAATGCCAAGATTCTCATCAGAGTCATACACTAAAATTTATATACAAGTGTTCATTAAAGCACTATGTATAATAAAAATTTGGATTATCCATCCTAAGTATTCAACACAAGATCCATAGAATAGAATATTGTTAACCATTACTAAAAATTCTTAAAGACTATTGTATAATAAAATGAATAAAGCTGGAAAGAGTACTATAGAGAAAGCAAAGATGCATTTTATGTGTAAACATACACACATGCAATACATGTACACATAGATGTATAGAAAAATACTGAAAAGAATTAGAACTAGAATGTTCGTCACTGTTCCCTCTCACCAGTGAGATTATAGAGGATTTTTCTTCTTTTTCTTTCACATACATTTCTGCATTTTCCCAAATTCTCCAAAATGTATTTTGTGAGGAGTGGTAAACTGGTTCCAGGGCTCCATACGTTCATTGCCCAATTTTCTGATGAAAATATTTCTACTAGTAATTGCACTCCTAGAAATATAGTCTATCAAAATAATCAAATGTACATGTAGAGTTTTATGTACTGGGAATACTGATTGCAACGATATAACAAAATTTACAACCTTACTAAATGTTATCAGTTGAGAAATGGTTAAATAAATTGTAGTTTATCCATAATATAGAATTCTAAGCAGCCATTTGAAAGAATATGCTGTTGAAGATTAACGACCTGGAGAAATGGTCATTGTCTAATGTTAAGTGAGAAAAGCAAAACACAAACTACGTACAATATAATCCCACTTTTTAAAAATATAAATATACAAATAAAAGATGGGAGGAGTATATCCACATATAAATAGTGTTTATCTTATTATGGTTGATTTTTTCTTATGTATATTTTACTAGTAGTCTTAGAATTTTTAAATAAACATAATATTCCCAAAAATTAACAAAAAGATATTTTAAAAAATAAGACTATCAGCTCTTCCACTATCAAAGTTTCTTTTCTAAGGTCATAGTTGTTCTCACAGGCATTTGTGCTGCCTTTGTGAAATCCACCATTTAAAAAGTAAAATGTGATTTTAAAAGAATGATTCATTGGAAAATAAAAATAGAAGTGACCAAAATGTTTAAAAACAAGGAGCCCTTGTTTATCTGACTGATGATAATAACCCAAGCATCACTTTCCCAAAAGAATTCATTGCATAAATATCTTCTGGAGATGTGGAAACTGGGGTTCCTGGGGGTTTCAGTCACTATTTCTAGCCAGAAATTCAGAGACACAAAGCTCTTGAATTTACGTTAAAAATTCACTTCTTAGTTATAGACCTGCACATTTCTAGCTGTAGTAATTCTGCAAAGCAGCAGCCGGTAGACACTAAAAGGAGCTTAGCTGCAAGTAAAATGGGAACATAGAAGGTGGTAGCAACCTGCCTCTAGGTAATCAGTCCGTGTCTAGTATAGCTAGTATATATATATAGCTTCCTTTAGTGAACTCCTCCTTTCTACCCCTCTTCGAATTCTCCTGGAACGGGCAATCCCAGGACCTTTCCTCTGGTAAACCCAAGGACACTTGGCCCAAGCTAGGCCAATCAGACCTTTTTCTCCTAGGACACAACAAAGTTAAAACTGGGTAGCTTGATGAAAAGGCCTAAAGTTACATTCTGTGAATTGTTATTACTCAGTTCTTGGGACTTTCTCTTGTCCTTCCTCTATCTAAGTCCTGATTATTTAATTCTTCCTTCAGTTTTATAAGTTACTCAGTCTCTTTTCAATAAAGTCATCAGTGAACATTTCTGTTATTTACAACCCAAGAATACGACTAGATGTGTGGCAGAAATACAAACAATACTAGAGAAGCAAGAATAGGATTAGGGAAGGGGAAGAGCAAAGACTGATCTGGTCACGTTTGTCACCTGCATCTGTTAGGACATCAGACACTATGCCTGTTTATGTTCCTTAAAGAGTTATTGTGAGAATTGGCTTCTCCTACTCAGTCCATTCTTGAGGTTTCAACCACGCTGACATTCTTCTTTTTCCTCAGAAGGACCAGATCATTCTTGTCTTTTGTGTGGTCTTAGTAAACGATCTCCTTCTGCTTGAAGTGTTACCATCATAATCATGACAACCCTTAAACTAACAAAGTCTTACTCATCTTGAAGATCCTCATTAATTATCATTTCCTTTGAGAAATCTTCTGTATCCACAAAGACAAAGAAAGTTCAGGCACTTGCCCCTTTTGAAAACATTAAAAATAACTATAGTTAAATAATTTGCTTTATAGTTAGGTATGCAATGTTTCTCCACCCTGCTATAGCTCCATGATTGTATAGAACCATGCCTGTTTTATATGTACTGATGTCATGCCCATCAACATACATTCAGTTCCTAAGAGCCTATCATCTAGATAACAGTTAAATATCTGTTGAAGGAGCAAATGGTCCAATAAAATAATGTATGTGAAAACTTTGAAAGAAAATAAGAGGATAAAAACACAAGGTGATACAGAGTTCCACAATCCATAATGAGAGCATTTGTGTTATTTATTTTCCTAGTATTACCACATTCCCTGTACATCACTGTGGGTCACTGAATGTCAGCAAGCTTAATTGCACTTCCTTTTGCGGACTGATTTGGAAGAGAAGGGTTCAAAAGTGCAGAATGATGGGTGGGAGTGTCTCCATGGATAATTAGCAGAGCCTTGATGTAGCTTAAAGCCTTATCTTAGTCCATTGGCACTTCTATAATAAAAATAACATAAACTGGGAGTCTGATAAACAATAAACAGATTTCTCACAGTTCAGAAGGCTGAGAAGTCCAAGATCTAGGAGCCAGCAGATTCAGTGTCTGGTGAGGCCCCACTTTCTCATAGATGGCCATCTTCTCACTGTAATTGCACATAGCGGAAGAGGCTATAAATCTCTCTGGGTCTCTTTTATAAGGGCACTAATCTTATTCATGAAGGCTCCACCTCATGGCCTCATCACCTCCCAAAGACCACACATTCAAAAAGACTCATATTGGGTATTAGGTTCCAACATACGACTTTTCGTGGGACCCCAGACATTCAAACCACAGCAAGCCTGCCACCCTGAAGACATTCTAAATAATACAAGGTCATGTTTAAAACAGTGTATTTTCTAAACAAATGCAGCCTCAAGACAAGTAGCTATCCCTGCAACTAGCTTTTCACCCTAATCCCTCTTATATAGAAACTCCAGACGTAGTGCTCTTGTTGAAACTTATTCAATCCGATTTAACCGCTGCTATTGATAAGTAGTCAGGACGACATGTGCCATGGCAAATAGTGACTCAATCCAAATGGATAATGGAGAATAAATGTCTGATTTGGAGTGTTTATCACCTGAACTGCAAAAGAATTATATTAACATATGCAGTAGAAGGAAAAAGAATATTCTACAAAAGAAACAAAATAATTCAAGACACATCTTGCACAATGGCCATATTCTTCTCCATTTTAGTTATGCCACTAGAAAGGTGCTAGCAATATATGTCTACACAACAATGATACAGTTTTATATTTTATGATAAAAATAGCTCATTCCTTTTTGACTTGTCTTTTGAGGGCTGTATTTACAAGACCTGTGAGGGGAGCTTGAAATTATATAAAAGTTTTGAGTGAGAAAAAAGAAACACAAACATTCCTTTGAAATGTTCTTAATAAATTTTTAAATTAATTTCCAGAAAGATAGGTCTCAGAAATCAATTTAAACTATTTAACTCACCATGCAAGAATGAAATTATTTTTTAAAAAAAGAGGTAAGCTGAAAAATTTCGAAGGCTACGTGCAGAAAGCCTTTAGCAGACAGCAGGAAGGAAAACTGCAGGCTTATAATGGGATTAGGAGGGTTTTTTCCCTGGGAAAAGTGTTCACTGAAGAGTGCTAAGAGGTACAATTAAAAACACTATTACACTCTTATGAGCAAAAATTCATCCTAAGATAAGAGTTGTAACCAGCCCATACTAGATGATCCTGACCTGGTTTGGGCTATTATTTTTTAACATATCTTTAGTCCTATTAAAGGAGTTTACATTGTATGTGCTAGACTATATATCTTCTCTTTCAAAATTGTTCTCTTCGAGGATTTATTTATTGTACACAAATAAACATGAACTGTTTTTTCCCATCAACTCCTTCAATAAAGAGAACATGTTTTCTCAAGTTATGTTTTAGCCCTTTTGGAATGAGCACAAAAGAGTAGAGTCATAGAAAAAATCTGTAAATTTTTCAAGAGAGTAAGAAAGTCTTGACATGTTTTATGCAAGTGTAACCAATGCCAAATGTTCTTGCTGGGTATCCACTTGGAATGTGGGGACAGAGATTCTTCCAAACCCACCCTTTCTGTTTGCAGCTGTAATGCTGGGTAGAAAGAGTGCATTTAACAGTTATTTGGTTTATTTGATTGAAGCTGGGTCCTTCCCAGCAGTGCCTTGTCCCAGCAGTGCCATATAATGAATCTCTGTATCCAGTTGTTGCATCAGGAAAGCAAGAGTGGAACAGTACTTCTAGGGTAGGTATCTTTTTAATTCAGTTCAATTCATTATACCTTGCAATCACTTATTGACTCTCTAACCTAAACTTGGTTCCTTTAATAACTCATCTGCCCTTCCTTTGGTGGCACGGAAGTAAAAGATCATCTAATTGAGCATATAGATGGATCTCTCTTTCTCTCTCTCTCTCTCTCTTTCCAGATATATATATACACACACATACATATATATATATATACACATATATATATGCTTTTCTATTTCCCTGCTTAAATATCTAAGTAGCTATTATACATGTATCTTTTGATCCATCTATCTATTTTAGAAGAATTTTATTTAAAAAATCTTCAGAGGAAAGTTTTTAAAATAAATGTATAGCTTATTCCCCACCTACACACATTTGCACACTCATTCCACTCACACCCACATGCACACTCACACACTGTATTTTTTTCTTATTTGAATCAGCCACCACAGCTGCCAGTGCCTCAGGGGCTTTAAACATCAATCAGTTTCACAGCTGGAGGCAGAGTGATCTACAGCAATAAAGCTTAAAGTGCTTCCTTTTCTGATATAATTTGATTCTTCCATTAGAGCACACATTCTTTTTTTTTTTAAGCCAAAGCAAATGTTCTCTGTCCATACTAAGGCAAATAAATAGTTACCTTAAAGAGGCAGAAGGTATTACTCACTAGTTGGGATGCTAGATGGAGAAACTCTATCCAATAATCCTTACTTCTGCAGTGCTGAGTTTTTCACTTTTATCTCTCAGATTTGCATCTCTCCTGCCTCCTCAGGGCTGACAGTGATCTTGGATCTGTTAGGCTGGGGGTGAATTCTGGTAGCTATAATAAATCAGACAAGAGTGGCTTTATTGATATGTTCTTTGGTTTCTAATACAATAGAATTCAATGGAATAGAGAAAAATGCTATGACAATCACTGTCATACTTTTTCACTGGACCCACAATGTTTGTCTCAAAGTTTCTCCATCAACCACAAGTTTTAAACTATCTTAAACATGACTTATCATTGTTTCTCTGACAAGCTCACTGTACTT
Organism: Homo sapiens; assembly: GCF_000001405.40. NCBI lineage: Eukaryota > Metazoa > Chordata > Mammalia > Primates > Hominidae > Homo > Homo sapiens. Next base: position 98,336,314 of record NC_000006.12, read on the forward strand.
GTTATTCTTGACTTTTGAAGTTATTTATTAAGTAGTACTAGATAAGGTAGAAAGTGATTCCAGCTAACTTTGATAACGATAGTTGCAAAGAATGTGCTGTTGTCAACAAAGATGTGCATTCAAAGATTAACAGTGAGAGTGGGTCAGAATCCATTATGCTTTGGTTCCTATCAAATAAACCTGGTTGGAATACTTGTTTGTTTGTTTTCCAAAAGAGACAGGGTTTTGGTAACAGAAATCCAGATATTTTTAAAGTAAATGAGCAGTCACATCCTAACCTGAAGCTTGCCAGCCCAGTTCATCTGCTGCTGCGGTCACCCCATTCCAGCTGTTGACTGGTTACATTTATGGTTACATTTACATTGGCTCTACCAAGGTTTCTTTCCCTTTTTTTGAATGAACCTATGAAACCAGTTTATACCAAAATTCGTAATTGTAGAATGTGGGAATATTAAAGCTAAGAGAGTCCTTAGAAGTTTCTAGCTCAGCAATATTCCTTCATCGTCTTTCCTTTTACTGTGGGAAATGTGGGACTCAAGAAGTTTAAATAATCAACCCAAGGACACACAGATAATAATTTATCAAACTAGAATTTAGACTGAAATTTTCTAAATCCCTATTGCAATGGACTGACTTGTGTCTCGCAAACTCATAGGCAGATGCCTTAACTACCAATATGATTGTCTTTGGACATAGGGTTTATAAGGAGGTAACTAAGGTTAATGAGGCCATAAGAGTAGGGCCCTAATCTAACAGGTCTGGTGACCTTACAAGAAAAGAAAAGACACCATAGTGCTCATCTTGAGTCAAATGCAGCTATCTGCAAGCCAGGAAGAGGGCCCTCATCAGAAACAGAACTCTGCAGGAACCTTGATCTTGGACTTCCAGCTTCCAGTATGATAAGAAGACATATATCTGTAGTTTCAGTAACCCAGTATATGGTTTTTGTTAAGATAGCTAGAGCTAAGATACCTGTCTTTCCATTTCTTAATCTTATGACTGAATACTGAGTTCAAATCTTTTCTAAGAGATCCAATTCTGCCATTGTGCTGAGTGGGGGATAGAAGTGTCTCTGATAAAATGTATTCAGGGCTGAGCTCACTATCAATGACTGAGCGCTGCCTGTGTCCAAGCTACTCTGGACAGCTTCAAGAAAGGTAACCCTTAAGCTCAAACTAAAGGTTTCATTGCTTCAAATTCTCCCAGCTTTAGTCTCCCACAAAAGGAGCTAGTTTTTATTTATTTTTATTCCTAAATGTCTAGTCCTTGGTTTAGTGCTTTCAAACTAAGTGTGCGTAACTACCACCTGGCTTTGTTTCTTTTCTCGTTATTCTGCTTCTCTTTCTTTTCCTACACTGCTGCATTAATTTTGTCAAAAAATTCCCATAACCTGTTATAGAAGTTTAGAAGTACATATTATTCTCTATAAAGGGCCCTTACTTAGTAAATGTCTTTGTCTCTCTCTGGCGTAGAGGCAAAAAAAGAGATGAAAGTGAGAGAGAGGGAGAGAGAGAGAGAGAGAGAGAGAGAGAGAGAGAGAATGAGAATTGTGTCCCCAGCTGAGCCAGAGTAAACACCCAGCTTTGCAATATATCTTAGGAGAGGCAATAGTTTTTCATATTTGAAATTAAATTTTAAGAGATCTACTTGGAATAAGTAGTTATTACCAGCCAACATATTTACTTTTGAATTGGCTAAGCAATTTTAGGAAAAAATTTAAGTATTTTGTACTCGATCTTCCTAAAATTTGGCTATACTTGTCATTTTGCTGTTCAAAACCTTTCCATTAACCTTCTCTTCCTGGAGAAGGGAATAAAACTCTTAAGCCTGGTCCCTGACACTCCTCAACATTAAGCCCCTTTGGATTCTCTCACTCTTAATGTGTCTCTTCCATGACATCTTGCCCTAGACAAACCGGTTGATCCTTTGTTCTCTTAAAACACAATGTGCCTTTCTATCATTTTATCATTACTTCCTAACGGAAATATCTCCTTTCTTCTCTGCCACTCAAATAAATTCTACCTTTTCTTCAACATTAGGTCTCATTTCTCATCATCTCTTTCCCCAAATACTCCTGCAAAAAGTAATTTTTCCTTTCTTGCTACTTCTCTGTCACTTAAAGTCTGTATTTGTCTTTCATTACTTGTATGTTAATTTGTCAAAGTACTCTCATATTTGTATGCCTTTTCTTCTTATAGGCCAATGCTCCCTAACACTCAACCCCCAGCACTTAACACAGCACAATGCCGTGCACAGTCCAGATGCTTTTTGGTTCTGTTAATCGTGATTGTGACGATAATGAAGTTGCTCCACAACTACTCTGAATTACCACCACTTGCTACCGAATGTGTGTGGAGCAATTATCATCAGGCAAGGACTGTGCAAGTGCTTTATATAGGCCACTTCATTTACTCTTTCCACAACCCTCTGAAATACATGTTTGTTGCTCTTTTACAAATATATAAAATGAGACTGAAGATGTCACATTAGACTGATAATTTCTATGACTAGATGATGGAGAAAAGGACTAGTACAAGTTCAGGTTAATGCCTTCTCAATGTCAGGTGTTTTGTAGACATTACATCATTTAATATTCACAACAATCCTGTGACATGGCTTCATCTGAAGATGAGAAAGTCCAAACCCCAACAGGTTAAGTAAGTTGCCTAAAGTCAGGCAAGTGTGCAGACACCAGGTTTTCTTCCTCTTTCAGAATAATTACCTTTAGTAGCTGCTTTAGGGATTTGTAAAGAAAAATACTACTGTATATTACAATTTAATATTGTTTTACCAACCTAAATTAATTTTTTTCTTTAAATACGAATTTTTCAAGTCCAGATTAAAGAAATAGTTTATGGATATTTGAGAATAAATCATCTACATTAACCAACTAATGAGTACCATTCCAACATAATTTATATGTCTGGTAAACTTCCTGAAATAAGGAACCCTTTCAGGATAACTGATTTTAGGTGGTCACTATGAGAAGAACCCTATTGGAATGGTTGGTTTCAGGGTATGGCCCAGAGCCTCTGGGCACAGAGTCCTTGGTAGGGAGCATGCCTGGAGTCTGCCCGGCTGAGGGACGGGTGTCTTCAGGGAAATACTACATTTTAAAGGGAAGATTTTTTTTTTTACTTTTCAGAGAATTTCAAATCTTGGCACTAAAGAGGGGGAAAAAGGTATGTCTTTTCTTTGAAATACTGGCTTTTTTTTTTCTGAAAAGACCACCCTCTCCCCAAGCCTTGGAAACTTCAAACAGCCTGACTGAGAAGTCAGAACTCCTCTGGTTAAAGAAGCTGTTATCTTGAAAGCTGCTACAGGCTATAAGCTCTTAGAGGGTCCTGGAGCTCAGAGTCTGTTTGTATTCATTTTTAATAAGCTAAATGAAAAATGGGAAAGAATCCTGAGCATGTGTATAAATGCATACATATGTGTATATCTATATATGCACATATTCTTATCATTTAACAATGTAAATATATATTTAGTTAAACATGCACCCGACAAGCTAAATGTCTTCTTTAAAAAAGTAAAATTCAAATACAAATGTAAATTTTACTTGAAAAATTGTGATTAGGCTTTTTTACTAAATATATCCTTGCAGCAAATTTCCTGTGAAATTTTAATTGGATTTCATACTTTTAATCTTATTTGTATGCACCTCACATTTTACTACTCTGTAAGAATTTGACATAATATCTATGTGTTTCTCTTACCTGATATTATAGTTTAAATACATTTTAAATGCATGAATTAAAGGGCAAAATCCAGAGTCGTTGACTGGGGTGAATATTAATTTTAATATAGTGTCTCTATTTTTGGCACATTCTACACTGTGGATACTTTTCTGTGTCTCCTGGGTGCATGTAACTGTAGCTCTTGCTTTCTACAGAGGAAAAAGTCCTGAATTACATATATAAACCAAAATATGTTCGCCTATTCTCCTCTAAATGCATACAAAGAAGAAATATCCAAAGTCTTAAATGTAACATAATGTGTCTTTAGGTTACATCTGACACCCTTTCAACCCTACCTTACATCCCTTCTATCCACTTTCTACTCCAACTATGGCTATGGCACCAGTCTCACACAGGTGTAACCAGAAACCTGGGCCTCAGCAGCATTTCTTTACTTTCTGACCTAGAGGTTTTTCATAACTTGTACAATGCCAACCAAGCCGTTCTGACGCTGAGCCAACCAAGCCATTCTGGCACAATCACAAAGGAGTGCAAGGCATCAGTCCCCTACAGGGTGACCCTCGACAGATGACAGATTTGATCCAGTAGATAAATACACCCCTCTTGCATCCTTCAGGTAAACAAAGCATAGTTACATCTTATATACTCAGAGGTCCCCAGCAAAACAGAGCCCCAGTTGCCAGTTGTTCCCAGTTGTTATTAAGCTGGTGAGTAGTTTAATAACATATCCTTGGTTTGACTTTTTCTCCTTCTGGATGTCATTCTATGCCAGTTGTCAACCGTGGGTTATTTTTCTCCTCTCTCCCAGCTCCTGGGGATATTTGGCCATGTCAGGAGACATTTTTGGTTTTCACAACTTGGAGGTGGGGGCTATTGGCATCTAGTGGGTAGAGGCCAGGGACGATGCTAAGTATTCTACAATATATGGCACAGCTCCCACAACAAATTGAGCTGTTAACTGTGCTTGAGTATAGCCTATCAGACCAATTTGCTTTCTTAGGCTTGTCAAGAAAAATTCCACTTGCTCTTTTAATTTGATGCAAACAGGTTTGAGGGGAAGAGCTAAATTAAAATCTAATAACGCCTGGAAAAAAAAAAGAGGCTGAAAATCAGCAATTTAAGTTCAACTTGAATGAGTTTCGAAGTAATTGGGTCTAGACACTGAAGAAGTTAAAGTTTACATAAAGCTTTCCATGAAACAAGGCTCTTCTTTTTCTAGATGACAACTCCAACTTTAATTTTTTTTTTTCTCATTGGACTGTGCATTCTTTGGAGGCAGGGTCTTGTTTCATCTTTGAATTTCTCACAGCTTTCAGTTTGTCTCTGCCCAGCAAATGTTCAATTGGTTATTGAATTTGTGGCAGATGAGGATTGTGCTCTGTTCCCTTGATTCCTAGTGTGTTGTTATTTCCAAGGAATGCGGATGTAATGTAATAATGGTCAATTAGGCAAGCCAATTATTTTGTAGCCACTTTAAAGTAGCAGTCTTCTGTTATGTCTAAGTACGTATTTCCTATATTTTATCATTTTGGAGTGTTGGAAAAATTTATTTCAATCAACTTTTCAGTTTGAATATTATAATCAGGTCACACCTTAATGAAAGTATATCAAGGCCCACTGAGTTTGTTTCTACTTTTCAGGAAGCAACAAAATGAACTCTCATAAGGGATTTAGTTCATTTCAAATATGGGTTAAATCTTCTCTGAATTATTTAACCCCTCTAAATCTATAAAATTGGCCCAATGAAAGGAAAAATTGTCACAAGGATTAAGATCTTCCAATTATACCCTGAACAGAGAGTTTCCCCTGTGTCATTCAATTACATCTTAAAAGTTCAGTGAAATTAAGGAAAGAAAATCCTGCTCACTTCTTGTTAAATTGGCGTTGAAATTTGAGAGAATGTATAGTTCAACTAAGCCAAGTCCCTCATTTCAGGAATCAGAACACTTAACGCTGGGAGGTGTCAGTCAAGGGTTATAAAGTTTTAGTTAACAGGATAAATAAGTTCTGAAGACCTGTTTTATAGCATGGTGACCATAATTGGCAGTAATGCATTGTGTGCTTGAAAATTGCTCAGAGAATGGATCTTAAATTTTCTAACCACATACTTACACAAACTGTAACTATGCGAGGTGATGGATATGTTAATTAGCTTGAGTGTGGTAATCATTTCACAATATATACATGTATCAAAGCATTACATGGTACACCATAAAAGACAATTTTTATTTGTCAATTATACATCAATAAGAAATGTTTTAAATTAATACAAATAAAAACATTTAACTTCTCTATGGGCAGATACAGAAGAGCCTTCATTGGTTATTAGTAGATTGTGTTGCTTCTTCTAAGCCAAATCTTTCTTAATTATGTAGTAGTGGCATGGCTGACTTCCACTTCCACTTGTGTCTTCTAGAGAGCCAATCATAGCATTAGTGTCAGACACAGCATGCAGGTGGAATAGGAGAACAAGAACACAGGTTTCATGCTTACAAATGCACCTTCTCAAAGAAGAGGTGTGATAGGTAACCTTGAACAAACTTCTGACTTCAATTCTGAGCCACAATCCTATGACCTTGACCTTCTTCTCCTTCTCTTTACCAAGGAGGGACCATAATAAGGTATTCACTCTCCTAAGACATTAGCAGGTGTTTAAAGGATCAATGTTTCAAAAGCATCCTGGGGAGAAAAAAATGACTTGGAAACATGTAATAGTTTTATTAATTCACCTTCTTTTTAATGAATCATTAAAACTGAGCTTAGAGCAGCCTACCTGTTGTGGATTCTTGCTTCAAGCTCTCTCTATGCTTACCACCCTGAACCTGAAACCTTGTTGAGAATGACTGCGAATCTACAGTTTTAAGGTTCATTAATCACACTCCCTGCTGCATATGCTTTCTGGTGTGCTATGATGCTGAATGAGATTCTCATACTTATGCAAAATATTAGCAGAACTTTTTTTATTAAAGACGTGGTTTATTAATCTTAATAAATCATAGTTTGTTGGAGTATTTCTGACTGCTTCTCAAGTAAAATGGGGCTTGACTGTGCAGTAACTGTGTTTATGTCATGCTTGAATTGCTTAAGGTGAGGCTTTGAGTAGTTTTATTGCTTTTGTTTATATAGGTAAACCCAATCTGCACATTTGAAATGATTGATGAACTGCAGCCCCACTTGGAGTGTTTGTCATCACTCATGTGCTGAAGTGACATTTCTTTATGTATTTTGGCATAAACATATGCAACTACTGGCAAAGCATTTGACCCTAGAGTCTGACTATTTGTCATTCTAATCTTTTTTTTTTTTTTTTGCCCAAAGTCAGGCAAGTTACTGTATATTCTTTCTTCACACACATTGCTAATTATTCAACAGACAGTAAAATAGTCTTTTGACTGGGATTGCATAAATTGCTGAATGTGCGATCTTCATTTCTCCAGCCAGGCAGCTAGGTACTATGCAGTAAAATAAATAAAGTTGAGATCCATGTAAATGTCAAGGAAGACAGCCATATTGAACTATAATAGCTTTTCAGGACAATCTGCAGCTTTTATCAATAAAAAAAAAAAAAAAAGAAGAAAATGCCATGAGTGTGAGATTTGGCAAATCAAATGTAGGCAAAGATTAAGCAAAATTCATTAAGTACAACTACCTTAGAATATAATTTTCCTATAATGGGTTGTTGTTGAAAAGCAAGTAACCAATAACTCATATCATGTGGACAGAGATAAATGAAAGTCTTCCTAACCTCCAGGCTCAGAGTTCGAACTCTATGTTGTGCTGTTTGAAAATTTCTGATTATTTATTGGTAAAAATGTCAGAAAAATAATTAAAGTGCAAAGTAATTTTCTGAGGAAAGCAATCACACCTCATTCAGAGAACTTGCCTATGGATGCATTCCTGTGAGGCCTGAATGAGCAACAAACAGACACACACACACACACACACACAGAGAGAGATAATAGGACAAACCAAAATAAATGACATCATTATTACCTGGTTCATGGAATGTAATGAAGAGGCAAATGGTTAAAGATTCATTGAAAAATCAGAGCTGATAATTCTAGACAAAATACAGAACATGGTTCTTAGGATACTCTTTAATGAGAAATTATGTAACTTGCTCTTTTTTATGATACAAAAATATTTTATTTACAATCATTCAATTTTAAGCTAAGTACTCAAATGTGGGATAGTTGACAAGAAGGAGACACCAGGTAGACGAAGAGATTTCAGGTCTTCGTCTGTGGCAGGCACCACGTTTTAGTGTGATGTTCAGGGAGAAAGTTTTCATTCTCTCTCTTCAGTAATCAAGCTGACACACTGGGGTTAAAGGATAGCAGCCATTGTGTTAGTAACAAAAATGAGCATGAGGTCATGTTCCTTAAAAGTATAAACATATACATACAACGTATTGGCTTTTTTTTTACTTGTTAATTAAGTGTTAATTTAGTTTGAACTCTGCAGTTCCAGAAGGTAATGTAGGAATTTGTTTCTTACTTTGTCTTTGTTTTCAGAGTTCTTTTTTTAAACCGTGTTATACTATATTATTGTTCAAAGTGTTTGCTGCCTTCCCGTGGGGATGGATTATACTTCCCCATGACTTCAGATTTAGTCATGTAACTGGAAGTGCCCCTCCAAGCAAAAGGATCATACATCAGGAGTGGCCACGTGAATTTTTTATTTTTTCCCCAATGAAATTGTGCACAGAAAGGTTCATGACACATCAAAACAAAAGTTTTAAAGACCATTCTGTAGTTTCCCCACATGCTTGTCCCTTTGCTGCAAGTCTGGCAATATTCCAGAAAAGTGATACTCCATCAGCCTGGCTCCCAGAACAAAGAAAGGGAGCAGAGCTGCAATTGACCCACAATGGACATGTAACAGGAATATGAAAGAAATTGTAAGTTATCAAGATTTGGGGCTTATTGATTATCACAAGTTAACATAGTTTATGTTGATGGGTATCCTAAGGATTTGGCAATCTTTTGAAAATCAGAGCATTTATAGAAATTTTCACCAGGGACTCCTCATGTTTCTTCCTCTGTCAATTACACTAAGTTAAGTAGATAATTATTAAATATCAACACTCTGCTAGGTGGCATGGAGAAGTACCAAGGAGCATACATCATAATCATGACCTTCAAGCCCTTAGTTTAGTCTTTGTTTATAGCCTCTACTAGAGGAAATATTTCTTCTACTCTTGAGACATAGTTATGAAAATGATTCACACGTTTACTTATGTGTGCAAACTATAATTATAATCTGATTTCCAGAAGTCACAAAGGATAGTCTAATTACTTCATGTTTCCACCTCTAAAACACCCATTACTTTAGATGTACCTTCAGAGTAAGGCCACATTTACGCAGACTAGTTGAGGCTAAACTCCATGCTGTGCGTTTTTGCATTTTACCTCATGTAAGCTTAACCACTTCCCTGCGAAGTAGATGTTATAGTCCAGATGTTACAAATGAGCCTTGCCTGAGGCCCCAGGACTTAGAAGCAATGACTGGGAAATCCACCCTGCATCTACGGGCCCAGGTCTCTTTCTTGTACATCAACTTGATACACAGCATGAGTGTTTCACAGTCATGCGCTGGGAACTGCAGTACATTGGGGCCTGTGAGAACTGAGCTACAGTCTTTTTTCAGGCACTCCAAAGCTGTGTCCCTTTGATTCTCTCTGGCATTTTTTTCATTTATCATCATGGTATTTGGACTGTGCATTTCAAAGTATTTCTTTGTGACTTATTCTGATAGACATGGGAGAACCCACAAAGTGCCATTCTCTCCATTTCCTGCTTCCTGCCAGAGATGATAGACCCAATGCTAATGAGGAATAGTATCTGAGGAATATTAGACCAAGGAGCTATGGTTCCTTTTTCCTTTAAAATCCTATTGCTTGTGTACCAATATCTTCTTGGCTTGGCCTCATTTCTTTTAAACCTCACATTTATAGCTTGTATTAATTTGCATGGTTGCACTGAAATAATGAGGAAAATAATTAGAGTCCAAAATATTATGAATCAGAGTATTCACATCAATAGAACTAATGCTTTAGGGAGTAAGAAGGAAGAGTATAGACCAAAGAACGCTGTTATAATACACTTCGTGGTACCACAAATCGAAGGTGGATATGCCGTTTTGTTCAGTATCAGACAAAACATTAAAATATCGGGGTTTTTTTTGTTTTGTTTTGGCTCCCACAGCATTGAAGTTATAGCAGTAAGAATATATTATGTAGTATAGAATCAAGTCCAAACTTTTATGAAAAAACAATAACTACAGTGTCATTCCCTTGTAGTTATAAGTTGGGCATCCCAAAGACATATGAGGCCTAGTGTCAGCAAGCCATCTTTATCGAAGTGACCAAGTTCCTTTGGCCCTTTCTTTTGTTCTTGTCATTTGTTATTCTCCCCATTTTATTGGTTCTATACTATGATCAGGTTATCTGTATTATCTGAACTTCTTTCTGTGTACCTATAATGTATAATCTATTGCATAAGACAAGCTGGCACTCAGATCATTATTAAAAAGGAATAGAAATTTTTCATAACTGTACGTACATTAGTGTGTATGACAACTTTGAATGCAACCTAGTTGCCTAGGTTTATTTGCTGAGTATATGCAATTTAAAAATTCTAATACTTGAATAAACATATTTATGTTTCAATACATGGATTTACATTCTATAAAAATATGTTGAAGGCCTTCCTTATACCAGGTTTATTTTTAGGAGTTGTGGATAGACAATCAATAAAATGTAGTCTCTGTTTCATAAAGCTGATATCCTAATGGGGAAAATGGACAATAAACAAGAAGAAAGATATTTAAATATTTTTAAAATAGCAATTGATAATTATTAGAAAAGTTAAAAAGAGTAAAGAAATAGGAAATGCAGATGCCATTTTAAGTAATGTGGCCAGAGAAAGGCCTTCTTAGGATGGGCTTTTCAAAAGAAATTTGTAACTGAAGTAAGGATGACAAATGAGGATTGAAATGAACATTGATGAGTAGGCTAAGGGTTCCTTCTTAGAGGTATAAATTGTTTTCTTCTACTTCTTCTCTTTCTGTCTTCTCCTCTCTCTTCTTTTGTTTTCCCAATTATATTTCCCAATTATATTGTTTTCCCAATATATAAAATGCTAACCTTTATTTTCTTGGGTCTTCATTACTAACAGAAAATCATTCAGACAATGATAGCCTCTCTTCAAAGATTAGAGTCACCTTACACCCTACCTTTATGTTGGGAATTCTCTTCAGATAACCTCTCAGAATTAATAGTTGTTTTTGCCAGCGGACAGTTACTTTTACATATTTTTTCCTTGAATTAAGAGAAGTTTTATTCTTCTATTTAGAGATGATTTATCAGCCAGATTTTCCTCTAAATTACTAAGCCGATTCAGGTGACATGAAATAATTTATTCTTTAAGGTAAACATGGAGAGAAAAATCAGGAGGAAATTGACGGCCTAGTGAGACAAAAAAGGCATATTCATTAAAGAAAACCTTTTCAAGAAAAACTTGCAACATTACTTCTTTAAAAATCTACTTTTCTGTCACAGCTGTGTGGCTACACATATAGCTAAAGCTACTGGCAGTGACACAATCCTAGGGCAGATACACAAAGCTATGCTTTAAGTCCACATTTCTTTTCATCCTAAAGCTGGAGCAGGAAGGAGGTAGAGACATAACTACCAAAGATGGGGAGGCTGTGAGTGCCTATCCTGGCTAGGCAGTCTGGTTAGATGAGCTTGGGCACATTGCTACACTTGATTTCTTCAAATGTAAATGGAGATACTAATGCTTACCTCATGGGATTTTTATAAGGATTACATTAGATAATGTGCCTAAAACACACACTATGGTGCCTGGCGTGTGCTCAGCACTCAGTAATTATGAGGTCTAATTATTAGTATGGCCTATGTTCTCTTTCCTGTTTATTCATCTTCTGAATGTGTATGGAAATATCAAGAAAAGACATACTTTAAAGAGATGAAAAATTGGGGATAATTAATAGACACCATGTAGTAATCATCTGTTATCCTCAAAATGTTGAAAATTCTAAGTTCCAGATAATATGAAGGTCTGGGCCTTGCCAGTGATAGCAGTTATATAAATGCTTGTCAGGTAAAACGAAAGAATAAGTCTACCTAGATAGAGGTGAACCATGCCAGATGGTTTTGCCCATCTGAATATACACATTATATTGAGCACAGAAGAAGGTTCAGATAAAACCATCATTGTTTAGATCCCACCAAGAGGGGCTTCCTGAAGATAATGATCTACAGCTGTTGCATTTTCTGAGTGGCAGGAGGGGGAGAACTGTGTGCAGCTGATCTACCAGTTTTGCGAGAGACTTGGTTTAGAAGGGATTTGCCCTCTGCTTTTCAAGGGGATTTCATGCTGATATTCTGTGATTTTTTATTTTAGTTTTCTGCAAGATGAAAAAAATACTTAAAAAAAATTAAAAATTAATATTTGTTCGTAAATTTTATTGTAGTCTCTTCCACTTAAATGTAAAATCTATGAATATATTGGCATATCTTCAGAGCCTAAAACATTGCCATAAACCTAGTAAGACATTCAGTAAAAACACTGCAATTGTTGGACGAATATATAAATAAACATATGAATGAATGGATTAATAAATAAATCAATATCCAAATGAGGAAATGTCTTTTTATATTTTTTCACATCTCGACTGTGTCTGAAACACAATGAATATTTCATACAGAAATAAGTATTTAGAATCATGAACCCTTGCCAAAAAATAGTCCTTTTTCTAGGAAAAATGGCCTTTTCAACCCAGATTGTAGCTTCAAGAAAGACATAAAGAGAGTCAAAAAACCCAGAGAGATGTCACAGTCAGATTGTTCTAACCTTCAGCATATTTGCTTTGAGACATCCTATAGGTGTGTTGTTTAAACTCCCACCCAAATCAGAAGACTCTCCTTGGAGGAGAGTACTAGATGATGAGTATTTGCTTGAATACTTCCTGTGAAGGGAAGCTCATCAAATGAGTCAGCCCATTAAAAGTTTGGAAAACTATAATTATTAACATTTTTCTCTGGCTATGGGGTCAAAATCTGCCTCCTTCTAACTGGAACCCACAAGAGTACCCCTTGTTATCCCCCTAGGAGCAATAAAATCAACTTTATTCTCTCTTAAATATGGAAGATAGCATTATTCCCTTTTTTTTTCTCCTCCCCTAGGCTTTTTGCTATCTGCTATTCAGAGAAAATGTGTCTGATGATTCATATTCCACAGTAGAATGTAATATATGTGGGCCAGGCACAGTGGCTCACACCTGTAATCTCAACACTTTGGGAGGCTGAGGCAGGTGGATTGCTTGAGCCCAGGAGTTCGACTCCAGCCTGGTCAACATGGCAAAACCCCATCTCCACAAAAAATTAGACGGGTGTGGTGGCACATGCCTGTAGTCCCAGCTACTCGAAGGCTGAGGTGAGAGGATGGCTTGAGTCAGGAAGGTGGAGTTTTCAGTGAGCTATGATTGTGCAAGTGTACTCTAGTCTGGGTGACAAAGCCAGCCCTGTCTCAAAATAAGTAATAATAAAAAAGAATATAATGTATGTGGGCCATTAAAAATCTAGGAAAGAACAAAAGAATATTCAAACTGTCATATTTCCACTTGTATTATTTCAAATGAATTCTCACCATCACCATATGAAGAGGCCTTTATTAGATCATTTTAAGGATTAGGAAACCAAAGCACAGAGAAGTAAAATACTGTAGAAAGTGAAGCTGGAATTTGAAACCAGAAATAGTTAATTGAAAAAAATATATGTTTTGTCTTATCCCGATACAATGTGGTGTCTTTCTGTAAATTATGGATAAAAATAATTAATTTTCTGTGAATAAAGGTAACCTTATATTCTCCCATGATAAGAAATTTGTTTCAGAGTGAACCAGCCCTAGTGGTTTGTGGCATGAGTATTAAAGGTTTTAGATGGAGTAACGTGTCACTAGCATGAGCAAGGTAGCTGAGAAGTGATAGGAGTATGTCCAGGACAAGGCAGAAGTTGCCTGGCAGACTCTCTTAATTGGGTTCCAACAGTTCTATAAAAATTTGGGAAGTACAGAACATACAGACAGAGAAGTCCACTCCCAAGGGCATTGACTAAGGATAAAGATATCACATAGCTGCCACAGTTCTCAGCAGCCTGAGCCTGGAGTCTGAGAATTCAGCATTAACGAGGCATGTATTTGCAAGCATATCATGATCTATTTGCCTATTATGTATAAACTTGCTTATTTTAAAAAATAATTTAAGTGTTTTAGCTTGCAAAATACAGATATAAGAAAAACATTAAAATAAAGATAAACGAATCCATCAAGTAATGAAAGACAGAACATAATTTTATCAGAAACAGTGAGTTGAAGTTGGGCTCTGCAATTGTGCATCACATTTAACTCTGAGCTTCCTGACAGCCAAGACAGAATTAGTGAATAAGAAACAATTGATATGCCTGAGTCTAGAACACAGGCTGTTGCCATATTCTTTTTCCTCATCTCCTGAAACACACAAGAGGATGAGCACAAGTGTCTTCATTATAGGTTGTTCTAGCCTGAGCTGGAAACTGCAGGCAGAACCGCCTGGGAATCTTTTACAAGGATTGATACTCTGATGGTATCCATCTGTTAGGAAAACGTTTGTATATTGTCTAATATGAATTTATTATTCAGTGAATTAATCAACAGGTATTTACTGAACCTCAGCTAAGTGCCAGGAAAAATTCCTCTGTCTTTACAGCACAGAGTCAATATAAAAAGTGGTTGATTGTCTCCCAAGTCATGGGTATAAATCGGGGGTTTTCAAAGTGTTTTCATTAGATAATTTCTCCTGAAACATGCGCTGCACATACCATACCCAGAAACCCAGCTATGATGTAGCAATGAGGAAGACAGAGGCCTTTGGCCTCCTGGAGCCTGCATCCTAGTGGTATTTTCATATTCATGCCATGGCAGTCGATAAACAAGAATGATGACATGTTCAGGCTCTGAAGTGGACTTAAACTCAAATCTTAAGTCCTTCTTTTCTATGTGTGTGTCTTTGACCATTAAACAAAACTGATTCAGGCCCCGATTCCTCTTAGTTATAAGGGAGATAATTCATAGGGTTATTGTAAGGATCAAATATTATAATGAAACAATTCTGGCCACAAAGTAAGCGTTCAATAAATTTTGTTACAAATTAAGAAACTGGAATTCAGAAAGGCAAAATGATTGTCTAAAGATATATAGCTAACAAACAATAGAACTTGGATTCATGTCCAGACAGCATGTCCCAAAATCTTGTGTTTTTCACCATTATGCAATGCAAGACAGGGTCACAGAGAATCTGAGCCAGATCTCAAAGTCTCTGGAATGGCAGGCTAAACAAATGAACTTAGCAATAAAGAGTCATTGAAGATTTGGAGGGTCATATGTAAAATGACCAAAATGTTATAGGATGATTAATCTTATGGCAATATGAAGAATTGTTGAAAGGACAATTAAAAATAACAGGGGTTGCAAACTATCGCAAGGACAAAAAACCAAACACCGTATGTTCTCACTCATAGGTGGGAATTGAACAATGAGAACACATGGACACAGGAAGGGGAACATCACACACCGGGGACTGTTGTGGGGTGGGGGGAGGGGGGAGGGATAGCATTAGGAGATATACCTAATGCTAAATGACGAGTTAATGGGTGCAGCACACCAACATGGCACATGTATACATATGTAAAAAACCTGCACGTTGTGCACATGTACCCTAAAACTTAAAGTATAATAAAATTTAAAAAAAAAACAGAGGTTTAAGTTTGTATCGATTTATATTTCAGTTTTTAACAAAAATGGAAAAAACTTGCTGCCAGAGCTCAAAAAAGGGTCAAGTCATTGACAGATTGATTTCAGTGGACCAAGGCCAACCAGAAGGAACTGGGCCCCAGAATCCGACACTCTCAAGTGTGGGACCATCTCTGCAGATCAGAAAGCAGAGGCTAACATGACTGGTCAGGACAGCCTACTATGTGGAGGTGGGAAGTAGATGAGCCTTTAGTGATTCTTGTCAACCACATAGCCATCCACTTCATAGACTCTCTTGGGTCTCACTTCCTTCATCAGTAAAATCAGTATAAAGTTACCTACCTACCTCACAGGATTGCTGTGAGTTTTAAAAATAGTTAATATATGAAAAGTGTTTAGAATAGTGCCTAGTACATAGTAAGGGCTCAATAAATCTCAACTCTTTGGATTAAGCTTAAGCTCTTTGGATTTCAGTTTCCACATCTGTCAAAATGGGGACCGTATTTTATTTACTCAGTTCTGTCTAAGGTACAAAACAAGTAAGTCCTGTAAAATAAGAAACTAAGGCTAGAGTTCTCCAGTTCTTATAGGAATCCAGAACAAAAATCTATATATACATTTAATGTGCACATAAAGTGTAAAATTTGTCCTGATTATTAGCTTTGAAGTGTGGTGGGGTGGGGGTGGGGGGAAGAGATCACAAAACTGGCAAAAGTCATGAGTCACCATTTCTGGAGAGAGAGAAAGGGTAAGATCAGCATCCTGTTGCCACCCACTTAAAATTTCACAAAATGTCCCCCTTTGATCCCTCTGTCGGAAACCAGTTATTAAGACAATGATTAGGTCAAATAGGAAAACGACTAGAACTCCACTATGTAAAAATGTTTTTGCAAATTAATAACTAGCAATAATTATAGTCAACTTTATTACATGCTTGGTATGTTCAAGCTCCTATGCTAATTAAACACTTCTTGTGTAATTGGTCAAGAAACCTGCCTTATTCATCTTTATGCTCTCAGCATACAGTGTGGTGTTTGGTACATAAGAGACGTTGAGTTAACATTTGTTCAATGCAAACACAATAATGTTATCTACATAAAGATGATGTTAAAGACCATCATATTTCCTTAGTATTTTTGAAATGATAATTTCATGTTTATAATTATTATTTATAATCCTATAACTATTTTTGCGTGGGTAGCTATAGCTCATGTTTGAGAAAATTGTATTGCTTAAACAATTATAAACAAACACTTTGAAGTGTTACTCAAATTCACATTATTTTATATTCAAGTTCCTTTTGTATTTTAACCTTAAAAAATCTTTTATCTGAATATGAATATATTCTCTAATCGTCATCTTTATATAGGCTATTAGAATATCCCCCTTTTCCTTAGCTTTAATTATCCTTGAGTTTTCTGGGGATCATTTTCATCTCCTTTGTAAATGTAAGTAGAACATTGTATTTTCTTTCCTTTTCATCTCTTGCAGTTCTCTAGATCCCCACAGTTTTTCAAAAATAACTGTAAATGATGCAGTTAGCATGCTTGCCAGTTTCTTTCATCCCACAGATAGAAGGTATATCATCTGGACCTGCTGATTTGTAGATATGCCGACTGTCCAAGGACTCACTTAGCCTGCTTTTGTAGATAGCTATTTTTACAAGATCTTCATTACTTCTGATTGCCTAATATTTTTCTTCTTTTATTCTTTCCAAGGACCAATTTGTAAGATAAGTTCAAGGCCTCAGACATGTTAAAGTTATCATTAATTTCAAGACGCTCCACATTTATGAGCCCATTGGTCACAGCACTGATTGTGTTCCTACTGTGTTCAGAGCACTGTGCTTACCAAAGCTAAGAACAGTTTGAGGCTTTTCTCTCTGAGAGCTTCTTCCCCTTATTACAATTTACGTGCTTCCCTGAACAATTCTGAAGAGTGTTATGAGAAAGCACACCCAATGTTTACACATTTAATTTTTGGTATATTAATGGAATTTTAAAAGTTATTCTACTTTCCTTTGTGTCACATGTTCACTTGTTTAATATCTTCCAAAATACAATTCATTGATATTTATTAACGTATTCAAATAATGGTGTGCCCTGATTGGAATAGCACACAAGCAATGGAATTTGAGGGGTAAGTTTGGCTTTATTACTATCCTAGATGCACTATGACATTTATCTAAGCAATAATATAGCCAACTCTATTCAGCTAATGGACAATTTTGAAATATTTGCTATGACTATTAATAGCCTAACGGTTTGTAAGATTTGTATTTCACATCGAGCCATTTGGAAATCACAGCTAACTACAGAAGCCTGCAGTCAGATATATGCTGTATGTAACTTTCTTACCCAATTAAAGGGAAGCAACAGGTTACTATCCGTCTTAAGTTGAGCATTAATGACCTCATTTACAAGGCAAATGGCTAATTTTGGTTAATGCTTGAGTTTCCGTGCCACATTTTTTACTATACTTCGGGATATCTGGAAGAATAAATGTTTTGTTTACTTTGTTTTAGTCGTAACCTCAAGTGCTTTCTTTTCTCATATGCACTGCTTTAACTCTGTCCTAATGACATATAATTCCATCACTGGGAAAAACATTTTAACTCTTCATATAGTGGAGAAACACTGGACCAAATTAACTGAGATAAGTAGTTTTTTTAGGACTTAAAACAAATACAGTTGTTTAATGAAGCCTTGTTTTAATGTAGGGCTTTGCTTTTCTGGGTCCTTGGATTCAGGCTCCAAGACCATGCCTGAAAATGCAAGTGAGCTTTTCTGTGGCATGGCATGGTCTCTCCTGTTGGGTAGCAAAGTATTGTTTAATGTAATGCAAATAGCATAGGCTTCCAACTCACAAAGGATGGGTTCAAGTCCCCAGACCTCTACTCTTCATTCCTTGAAACTGCACAAGTCACATTATTTCTCTAAGCTTCACTTTCTACATATGTAAAATGCAAAGTGTACCTACTTCATCATCGTTCTGTGAGATCTCATGTGGTATCAGATGTATACAGCTTAGTATGGGATCAGGTACCTGATCTAATTTAACCAGCTGTTATATTTAAAGAAGCCAGAAACAAGATTATTTCTGGACAAACACATATGAAATGAGCCATGTACACATTACCAACATAATTATATACAGTCAGTGTTTTAATGAGATGTCTTTACATATATCTTACTACATTGTAAAGCATTTTCTTCTCTCCTCCTTCAATTCCTCTCTTTTTCTCTTATGAGTTTTGCAATATGAGAATAACCTTGAAGGCATGATAAACATCAGATTAGTACAACATGAAAGACAAGAAAAGGAAAAGACTACTGTTATTCAGTACTTGTCATTTATTTTTTGGTCAGAAGACCAAAAGGTCAGCCTGTGGATTAGCATGTAAATTTGTTATTCCC
This sequence comes from Homo sapiens, assembly GCF_000001405.40. Taxonomy (NCBI): domain Eukaryota; kingdom Metazoa; phylum Chordata; class Mammalia; order Primates; family Hominidae; genus Homo; species Homo sapiens. The sequence goes on from NC_000006.12 coordinate 98,355,244, forward strand.
ACCAATTAATGAAGGATTCAGATAAATGCAACCAGAATTTATGTTGTAGGGTTAGACCCCTTTTGACTTAAAAATCTTATTTTACTTATTTTCCTTGTGTTCCAATCCATGTTGATCTGGCTCAGCATCTAGTCTCTGAACATGCCACATGCTGATGCTTCATTTGAGAATGTGATGTCCTTATTCCCAGAAACGCTCTCTGGAACCAAGTTCCCTGGCCCCTGCTATTTATCTGTCAGCTCTCAATTTAAGCTTGACTCCTTTAATAATCTGGGCCTCAAGTCCACTTAGATATCCCTTTCTCTTTGTTTCTATAGCTCCTATGCTGTAGCACTCTCTGGATCCTTAGGGACAAAAGAGCGTCTCTCTCTCTCTCTCTCTCTGTCTCTGTCACATATATATATATACACATATACATATATATATATATATACACACACACATATGTCATAAATATATATATTTCATAACATATATAGTCATAAATATATGACATATATATATGACATCACCATGGTGCCTGTTGTACAATAGGTCCTCCGTCAATATCCACTGATTGATAGATGTTTGTTTTCTCTTAACAATGCTGATGTGATAAATGCAGTGTAACAATGCTGTTAGTTAGAAAACTCATAATAAGCTGAAACCCTGCAAGGCAATTTCTATTCCTTATTCCATTTAATCCTGAAGGCAATTCTACAATAGACACTATTGTACTTATTTTATAGGTGAGACACGAAGACTCAGAAAGGTCAAGTCATTTCCTTAAAGTCATATAGCCAGTAAGTGGTAGAGTAAAAAAGAAAATCTATATTGGCTCAGCTCTGAAGTCTTGGCTCTTAATCACAAGTATTGCAGAGGGTTTTCAGTCTTCCTACCTCTACTTCTCTAAGCTACTTCAATAATAATTTAAAAATCCCTCATATCTCAACCACACAGATTTTAGGCACAGCAATTCAATGGTCTGGTTTAATTCTTTATATTGCTACTGAAGTCTATTAGTACACAGCTGTAGATTCTGTAAGCGATGCTACTCTCCCAAGAAGCTTACTTCAGTGTACAGGTGCTCAACCATACCTCTTTGCAGCTTTGGTCAGAAACCAGAATGTGTTCCAGATTGAGTGCTACCTTGAAGAGTTTCTTCAATCACCCAAAGGCATATTCCCACTAATGCCTTCCATACAAAAGTGTCTGCCCCCAGAGTCAAGCAGAGTCTAATCAGCTGGAGGTTTTGTTGTTTCATTATTTCAAACTCATCCTCAGTGGCTTTTAATATTATAATTTATTGCATCAATTTGATCTATGGCCCTGATGTTTAAAGTAATTGTGTTAATTCCCAACTTTTTAAGCTGTTACTGTGTGATGGGCATTATGCTAAATGTTCTACCTGAATTATCTAATTTAAACTTCATGATTATGTAATACTAGTACTGTAGTCATCTTATGGGGGAAAATGAGGTAACTGGCCCGAGGTTACAAAGCTAAAAAGTAAAAGACGCAGAATTCGATCACTGTACTGTCTATTGCTAGAGTCTGAACTCCGAATCACTGTATGTCACCTCCAAACTAGTACCTCATAAAACACGACTATTTATGCTGAAAGTGAAAACTATAGCGGTAACTAATAAAAGGGTTAGTGGAATTTCTCAACAGTCATATTTTTAGGGGCAAGCTGTAATCAAATACTTTGAGTAGAAGAGTAAGATCAAACACCTATATATCTAAAAAATTTAGAAATACGACTACATCCTTTTTGCCAACCTTCTTGCTATCAGTGGATTCTTCCAGTGTATATTATTTGTCATTAATATACTAACAAGAAATAATTACAGCTGAAAGTAAATAAAGCTTAGAAGTCTGAGCTTTTGCAATCTAAATGCAAGAACACTAATGACCCTGTTAACTCGGGAAATGTTGGTAAGTGCCGACAGACCCATTGCTACACTGGGGAGGCAGCCATAGCAGAAATATCTGGGGATCCCAGAAGGACACAATTGTTATAATCCATTTTCTTTCAAACAGGCCATTTTCTATTTTAAAAGACTCCTTAAAAAATTCCTCACAGTGTGCACCCTGCCCAGTATTAAGGGCAATTCTTTCTGCATTGTATATTTAATAGTTACATTGTTCAGAGCCCCTCTGCTCAGAAGGCCAGGCAAAGCTCTCCTGGATATCTTAAAGGAGGTCTCAGCTTTATCTGCATATTCGTTAGAACTCTGACTCTCTCAGGGTATAGAATTGAGTGGGACCCCTCTTGTTTCTATTATTATCCATCTTATTGACAAATGCGATGCTCCATCATTTTAGTTTACAGTTACATTGCAGAGACAGAAATGTGTAGAGTATTTCCAAAATGCTAATATGAGCCACATTGCATAAAGATGCACTGACAGTGACCCAAGAAAGTGATACAACAAAGGCACATCTGAAATGTCAAATTTTGTCATTTTTTAAAAAGACAATGGTCATCTGTCTCTTATAATTGAATTAAATGCTGTATTTGGCTGTTTAAATAAATAGACTAATAAGTATATTTTTTCTCAGTGTTGCTGTCTGTGAGGTACAGTGAATTGCTTTCCTCAAGGAATTCCTGTGGGAATCTCACTTCTTTATAAATATGCTTTCTTTACAAAAGTTGGGGGTTCATTGATCTTTAATGTTTTGTAAATTTTTGTTAAAATTTGCACTTGAGGAGAGTATTTTTAAAAGGATGTGAAATAATGCATGGAAAACTATGGTTTCTTTTATCATAGATAGATAAATGAGTAGACACATAGATACACTGTTCTTTCTATTTGGTGTCCTTTTCTCTAATTCTATTTGGTGCCCTTTTCTATAATTCTCTTCATCTGATCAATAGGTTACTAAAGAAATAGAAGGATGTTACATAGGACTTTTAATTGGTCAATTTCTACTTAAAAAAATCTTCAATACTTTTCTAATTCTCCCCTTTCAATCTTCAAGGTTATATCTGCAATTATGCTACATTATTGAGGTCATTCAAAATAATATATAGACACCTTAGTATTTTCTATTCTCCATTGATGGCTTGACTGTCCTTTCCCCTGATTTGCTATAACAGAGCTCCCTTACAAGCATGCTGTGTGTTTATGGCTTCATGCCTGTTTTGCATCGGCAGCTGCTTGCCTCTTAAGCATTCATCCTACTTAGCACATTATATAGTGCTAGTTGCAAGACTGCCTTACAAATAAATGAAAACATTTAGTGTAAATTCTGAAACAGCAAAAGTAAATCGATCAACACATGTCAGTTGAATTATAAATCTTTAATATCCAGCCAGTCGCTCCTTTGTCAGGCCTGAACATTGTCTCTGGAGTTCTGTACTTGTTATCCTTATCCTTCCCATGTCTTCCTCCTCTTTCAGGAGCTAGGAGAATTGGGAAAGTACCTGGATTATCAGCAAGGATGGTGGGAAGGAGGAATATGAGCACACACTGCACAGCAGGATGCTCTTCTCTATCTGTGTGCCTGTGTGTGTATGTGTGTGTGTGTGGGTGTTAAAATACCTAAATCATTGTCTGACTATAACAACAATGGCAGATATGGAAACATCAACACAGTGAGGCAAGGGATCTCTAGTATTGTCCACTTCATGTGATAGTAGCAACATTTTAATCAGGGTCAAGGGAATTTGAATTTATACCTATTCTTTTCACCCAAATCCTTCATGGGATCCACAAAATCTCTTATCCACTGCTTGAGGAAGAATAAATAGGTGCAGCCAATTTGAATATTTATGTTTTAATGTTGAATATTTGTATTACCTAGCAATTCCATTCCCAGACATAGCCCAGACTCTTCATAGCAGCTCTATTCACAACAGCAAAAACCTGGAGAAATGTCCTTCAGCTGCTAAGACAATAAATAAATTGTGGTCTATTTACACAATAAAATATAAGACCATAGTCACAACAAACCGACTGTAGTGAGAAGCATCAATACGGGTGAATCTTGGCAGTATATTATTTTATTTTAACTTGTTTTAAGTTCAGGGGTATAAGTGCTGGTTTGTTATATAGGAAAACTTGTGTCATAGCTTTTTGTTGTACAGATTATTTAATTAGTACCCATTAGTTATTTTCCTGATCCTCTCCCTCCTCCCACCCTCTGCCCTCTGAAAGGCCCCAATGTGCGTTGTTCCCCTCTATGTGTCCATGTGTTCTCATCAGGCAGCTCCCACTTGTAAGTGAGAACATGCGGTATTCAGCTTTCTGTTCCTGAGTTCATTTGCTAGGAATAATGGCTTGAGTTAAAAAAAAAAAAAAAGATATTCAAAAGTGGCAGACTACTCTTAAAAAAACTAAAATAAAAAGTATACACTTTTATGATACTAATAAAGATGCAATAAAAATGATACAACATGAAAAGTTGGGGTGTGACAAATTGGAGATTCAGGAGAATGATTACCTTGGGTAGGGAAACCACACAATTCGATGTATGTTTCAGTTGCTGAGCCTGTGCAGAAACATTACTCCCAAATTTTGTATAATAAAACAGCCATTTATTACACTCATGGTTTCTGTAGGTCAGAAAGTCAGACATGGTGTGGCATGATGGCTGGCCACTTTTCCATGATGTCTGCCCCAGCTGATAACCAGAATTAACCACCAACTCTGTGAGTGAATGAGGCTTCAGATGATTCCATCCCCTTGATGTTTTCCATCTGAAGTTGCAAGACAACATGAAGGTTCTTAGGAAGGTGGTGAATATATATATTTTTAATGCAGGAGGGATGTAAATGTGGTCATCAGAGAGTGGACTGTGGCAGATTTTATTTTCCAAAAATGGTCAAAGCAATGTTTCTTGTCCCATAGGCTCTTCAAAAGTTTATCATTAACATAAAAGCGTGGGGACTATTTTCTTCCTCTTGAATCTGGTTGAGACTTTTTGACTGCCTGGATGACTACAATGTGGCAGCAGTGTGAATCATGAAAGTTCTCCAGCTTCCAAATGGCTCTGTAGTGGGATACTGCCAATCTCTTCAACACTCTTCCAATTTCCACTGCCACTTTTGTAGAATTTTGTTATGGTAGCAACCCACTTTCAGGTAGTGATTTCTGTTCCTTAATATAACTACATGAAAAATTTCCCCAAAACTTAGTGGTAAAAAATAGTCATTTATGATGATCATAAGACAATTGTCTCTCCCTCATCAGGTCTGATGCCTCAGCTATAATATTCAAAGACTAGAGGAATATAATCATCTAGTGTTATTCACTGTTATTTCTGAAAATCGGTGCTGTCTGCTGGGAACCTCAGACCCTCTCCAAGTGGGCCTTTTTATCTATTCCCTCTGAGTGGTCTACTTTGGGCTTCCTCATAGCCTGGAGCTATCCTCTGAGGATGAGCATCATGAAAGATAAAGAGAGATAGGTTGAGAAACAGGCAGAAGCCATATTATCTCCCATGATCTAGTTCCAGAAGCTAAGCAGTACCACTTACACCTTATTCTCTATTCATCAAGGTAGTCACAAAGCCCTTCCCGAGTTGAAGGGAAGAGGAAAAAGATTTACCACTTCATGAGGAGGGGAGGAAGACAAGGTTTTCAAAGAGTATGTGGAACTGGAAATATTATTATGGTCACTTTTGGAAAATACAGTCTGCTACAATGTATTGCTAAGGCCCTGGATTTTTTTTGAGGAGGGTAGTTCACAGGTGATTATTGCATTATGGGAAAAAATTAATTAAGGAAAATAAGGTTATGCATAAACTTAGGATAAAATGGTGACCTAAGCAGTATAATTAATTCAATGTGCAACTGAAGACCAAAGTGGAGGGAAAATCTTGTTCCCCTTTGAGTGAAGCAGAGTGGTATCATTCAGTCATTAATTCATTCACTGAATAGAACAAAACTCGGTCGAAATCCTGGTTCTTTACTGTCCTTGTGGAGTCACTTACCTCTCTAACAATAACAACAACAATGACAAATAACAATAATATATTAATAATTATGGCTAATGTTAATTGAATGCCCACTATATGTGCCAGGTGCTCTTCTAAGTGTTCTACATATATTTAACTTTAAATGTCCCAAATAATCTTACATGTAGATACTCTTATCCTTGCTTTTCAGATGAGGAAATTGAGATACAGAAAGGTGAAGAAATAATGTCACATAGTAGTGGAGTCAGAATAAAAATGCAGACAGGTAGGTTTTAGACTCCTATGCTTTTAATCGCCATGTAATTTCCTTGTCTCTTAAATAACCATAATAAAACAACAGTTTTGATATAGGACAGTAAAGAGCCCTTTGATATACTACTGGTTTTGAATGTGTATAGAGACCTCATATATACTCTTCAGCCATTAAGAAATTGTAGTAATATTTTGCTCCCAAATTGTGGAGTCTGTAAATTTTCTCAATAACATCATCTTTATGAAAATCCACAGAGGCCAGGGATGGAGTAGGAACAGAACTAAGTTTCAAAGGCAAATGGTGATCTGGGCTTGAGGAAGTAACAGTGAGGTCAGAGGGAAGAAGGGAAGGAGAGAGGGATGGCCAGCAGACCCAAGTGCAGAGTTCAGAGGGGTAGGGAACCAAGGGAGACATGGGGAAAGACTGGATGTGGCCACAGCAGCAGTGTACAGAGGAGGGTCATAGATGTGGTCCCATCTGGTTTGAAGTAGAGTAGTTGCTACTAAGCACATGGAACAGGACCAAGAAGTCAGGACCCCATTAGGTCTGCCCAGTTTCATGATGGGCTTCAGTCAGAGAAGTAGCTACAGAGAGAGCCCACCTCAAGTTCAGCAATTCTTCTTACATTACTTGACCCAGTGAGGTTTGCCCTCATGATATCTGTTGCTGCTATACCAGCGTGTGTCCCGATATATTGCAGTTGCTTATTTCCTTGTCAGGAACTGAAATTAAGGGCAGTGACATGTCCATCTTATTCATTGTCATATCCCAGAGCTTTACCTACTGTGAATCACTAACTGGAGCTTAATGAGTAGAGCTTAATAAATGTAAGTTGACTGAGTGAAAGCTGTAAATTTACAGTATAATTAACTGGGGGGCTGTTGAGTGCTGGGGGGTACTAGAGTGTGAGAAAGGAAAGTTGGAAAGTACAGGTACGGGTTTGGTGGGAGTTCATGCTGATTGAGTGAAAGGGGAAAAAGAGAGTAAAGCTTTAGCAGCAGGTGCCTGCTGTTGTTGGAGGAGTGTGTTCGTGTGTGTGTGTGTGTGTGTGTGTGTGTAAGTGCATTTTCAAAATGTGAGATTTGCTTTTTAGGGAGTGGGGAGCATAAGCAGGGTATATATTGTGTCAGTGAACAGGGTAAGACTAATTCCCCATTTTATGTGTATTTAGTCAAGGTTTGCTCAGAGATAGGACATATATGATTCCATCAGCTGAAAAACTTGTACCTGAGAAGAACATGAGAAAGCCAAGAATGTATCGTTGCAAATACAGCAGCCAAATTTTACTGTAGGTCTCCTCTTTTGGTACAATTAAGGGAATTGATCTTATATACTTCAGTATTCACAAATAAGATTCTATCAGGAAAACTTGGGAGGAGACTAAAAATTAGCATCAAAACCTTATTGCAATTATTTGTTGCCTGAAAATTGTATAAAAGGTGTACCTATAAATTCAAAATCACTGATATATCAATAGTATACAATATTATCAACCTGATAAAGGTATACAGTACATATTATGCAATGAAACTTATTACCGAAAATCTAAAGAATGTAGAGTTTCTTATCAATCCAATAAAGTGGTATTGCTCACTGTCAGCATATGATGAGTAAAAATTAACCAGCATGCTATGTAAATTACTAAATTATCTTAGATCTGATTTTGCCATAATTGGACCAGAAGTTTAGAGATATACCAGGATTGACCATTTTCAGGTGTTTTATTTATTTATAAACTAATTCTGTAAAAAAGAACCATTCAGTATTTGAATAACACAAAAGGAAAAAGCTGCTTATCTTCTTTTAAGCCATTAATATGACACCAGAAACATTTGATGAAAGAAACATGCAAATTGCACCTTTCCCCAGAGGAGCCTGACTGGCTGTGGATATCTGGGAAAGCACAGCCCTGATTATTCTTCCCTATAACACAAAATTTCTCCTGACACCATCTGTCCGTCCTCACCTACCAAACATATCTGCTCCATTCTGAGAAAATGTCTCTCGGCAACTTTCTTCTCATAAAACAAAGTTATGAAAATAAACTAGCATTATTCATGAACATTTCACCAGTCTGAAACAACATGTGCAAAATAAAAATAAAATTTGGAAAACCACATCTCAGGAAAAGCACAAAATCAAGTCATAAAAAAAAAGAAAGAAAAAAGAAGTCAGCCAGCCCCATAATAATTTTAAAAGTTTCTTCCGTTGAAGTTGCTAGGCAGGCTCGCGTGCCTCTCAAGCCTGAGGTTGAGAGGATATAACCCTTTTTTGCATTACATGAAATAGCTTCTCCAAAGGAAAAAAAAAATCCACACTTGCTACACAGCCCTTGTGGTTATCCTTGAAGCACAATAGGAAGGCCGTCAAGGCACTCAGAAAAATACATTTGAGTGAACTGGATGACTTTAAAGGAAATCAGAAAATGACCTCCAGAGCAGTAATCTTCATAGAGATATTTATATTTTAATATTGCTGGAAATTTTGCTGCTTATCAAAGCTGAAAAGTAAAAGTGCTGGCTGGAGCTGAGCCTCCTGTCTCCTGGGAAGTCTTTCTCCACAAATACATAGTTTTTCATAAATTCTGACTTGAGGCAAGCCTCCTTTCGGTGATGTCTATTACTTTTCTTACTCTTGACGGTATACTTAATGCTTTACAAAAAATAAAAATGACCCAGACCTGTCCTTAAGAAGCTTGCACTCCAATTCAGTGGCTTTCAAGCTGTTTTCACACCTACTAGGAAATGTATTTTATACCACAAAAGAACAGAAACACAACACACACAAAATACGAAAGGATATTTACATTTATTTTCCTGAGTTAAAGAACAAGAAGTAACAATGAAATTTCATTGAAAGTATTTTAATTAAAAGAAAATCCCTCCCCCAATGTTCCTTCTTCCTACTTATTGTGTATTTATTGTATAAATAAAAATATATAAAACAGGGAGAAGAATGTTTCTGTGTATCACAAATAGGTGTAAATGCAAACATAGTAAACAATTTTCAGAGCACACTTTGATAACTACTTGGGTTGAAAATTAATTTTCATGATTAACCAACTGCAGGCCCACCCAAGATTTTGTGAGGCTCTCTAGAGCTTTGTGCTTTCTAATTTACTGAGCAACACAAGTGTTAAAATAACAAGTGATTTTAAAATAATAACCTTTAAAAATTAAAAGAGGGAAAAATATACCAGCCAGTTATTGAATATTTACTGTGTAGTTAAGCATTAGGTTGAGAACTTTACATATATTATCTTATTTAGATTTTATGTCGTAACTGCAAGATGAGCAGATTAATTGGCCATTTCACAGGTAGGAAACCAGAGGCTCCGGCAAGTGAAGTGACTTGCTCAAGGTCAAAGATATGGTAAGTACTAGAGGCAGTATCCAAACCATTTTGCTCCGAGGCACATCTGCACAGTGCCTGTCCCTCATAGCCTAAAGGTATCAGAGTGGGAGATGGTCATGTGTAGTAGGTCTTGCACGTCTCTAAAATGAGTATGGACAAGCTTACCAAACAGAAATGTCTACTTAGGGCCCAACATAAACGTCACAGAAAGGGCAGCCTGAAGAGAGGAAGAATGATGAGACCAGTATGTGTTACAGCTGGCATGTTAATTTTTTAGTGTGTGTGAACCATGAGGCAAACATCAGAAACCCATGCGTCTTGCAACATTTTCTCATTTTGACATGCTCATTTTGATCATGACCCTACTAATCTCTTTTTATAGTGGTGAATTGTCTTGTGATTGTTTTTAAGGAGGGGTACAAAGGTACAAAATTACTCAATTTCAAAAGCACATTGTAATATATTTTTCTTAAAAAATATAACATATATTTGTATTGTATATATATACACACAAATATACTTTTTCAGAGGTTGGCCAATTTGTAGTTAATTAAAAAATTTGGATTTTTATATTTTATTATTTTAATTTGGATTTTATATTTTCTGGTTTTATTAGGATTAAATTAGACTAGCCATGGATAGGACCAGCAGGTTGTTAGGTCCAAGTGGATGCCACAGATTCAATTCTATATCTAAGCTGAAATGCAGATTGAATGCACACCTTTGAACTGATTCTTTTTGTCCCTAATCATTACTAGAAGAAATGTGGTGTTCTCCATCCAATTCAGAATTGTTTATGAATTTATCCCCTCTGGGGTTTTCCTTCCCTCATTCTTTCTCTATTCCTTTCCTCCTTTCTTCCCTCCTCTCCTCCTTTGGGCTTACAGAAATCATATTTACAGAAGAGAAAAGAAGTCTGTTGATATATGGGGGAGTAATTTGATTATGTAAAAAGGAAGATGGTCTTTATATTTGTTCTTCTGGGCTTGAAACAATGTCATTAATCAGATTCTGATAAGAGTTATTTCAGATTTTTCAGAACATCAGTTCTCTTGTTTTTGTTCCTCACATAAGATCTAAACCCTTTTTCTACCTACCTTGTATCCAGCAAGTAATGATTAGGAACTGTTGAAATCTTTACACTATCCTAATAATGTGCCAATTAAAGAAGGTGTTTTACCCAGATTACAAAGATTTGTCTGAGGTGGCCACCACTTTGTTAAGGCTGTTTTGTGGACATCTTCATAATTAATGGAAAAATCATTAGGAATTCAGTCTTTATTAACCCCTATAGCTGCAGGGGCCCATTTCATCTTAATTGCATTCATTTGGCACTGGCAGTATTATACAGCATAATCACTAATAAATGATCTTTTAATTTGTACCAATCAACGGAGCTTGCTTTCATGCCAATATTCCTGTTTCTTTGATGTTGACCTGTCTTGATTTTTGATCATTTGGGCTTAAGATGATTTACTGGGAAATCAATATCAATACCAGAACTGCTTGTATTCATACGTCTGTGGTTAGGTTCCATTTGAGTGTATTTTGATTGAAATAAGTGTGCTTGATTACCCATTCAGATGAGGGGGAAAAGCATAATCAAGTTGGGAAATCTGGTACTGTATTCTTACTCAAAAGAAAATAATTAGAAACTGTAGGGAAACTGAAGATTCAGGAGAGCAGTAGAGGTAACACTTCAGATGCCACTAATTAAGCAACTTTGTCCGCCATCTCCTAAAGGCCTTCACCAATAGCGTAATATGCTATTACCCATTAGCAAGGCCAATGGGGGCTTTGGTTACACTTGTTAATGGGAAACCCCGAGACAGTTTCTCTCATTATCCCGCTGTCAGCACTGTCTCTGCAGTGTAAAGTGGTCGTCATTGTTCTGTGGGTCAGCTAACCAGAAACCAAGCTACTGTAAAGAAACATTCTGCAGCTAATTGAAAATGACTGAAAAATCCTCTTATCATCCAGTCACCTCTCTTTATTTGTGGAACAATGGGACGTATATGGAGTTGTGGGGAAAAAGGAAAGTTCAGGCTATGACACTGAATTTTTCCTGACTAATACAACTACAAAGAAGTCTTTGAAGATAATTCCAGGGGAAAAATCCACTCACTTTTTTTAAGAGATAATGACAGTAAGACGTAAGTGAGTGTTGAATATTGCACTTGCTGTTCTGAAAAGTACTTTATGTTTATGTGATTCCCTTCACTAGAGGAACTCAAAGCTTTTTCCATGAAACTGCTGAAATCCTCATTATCCTAATGAGCAAATGGCACAAAACTGGAAAAGCCACAAGGAACATGAAGTTTAATCACATATTCTGAGCTGGGCTGTTTTCCTGAAACTCTTAAATATAGTTTAGTACAAGGTATATTTCACTTTAAGTAACTCAAAGCCTGGAAATACAAATTGATAGGAAAAAAAAATCAGAAAGGAAAGGGGAAAGAAAAAGACTAAAGTAATTCTTATGTTTAGAAGATTCTTTGCTTTATGAAAGGACTTGATGCATTGTTCTTTCCTTTAAATTTAAATTCCAAAATACATTTAATATATGATTCAAACAAAAATTCAAAAACACAAAATGTGATGATTATATATCTTAAATGAGGAGTGCTTAATTTGGGGATCTGTGGAAGTTTTCTATTTTGTCACCTGTAGGAAGATGCAGCGACACTCCATGTTGCAGTGTGCTAGGTGAACTGAGCTGGTATTTTTCATTCATTATTTCCTTCAATCAGTATTTATTGGCAATTGTTCTGTTTTAGGCAGAGTGCCAGGCACTGGAGATACAAAATTAATTAGATATGACATTTTGCCATAAGAAATCTACAATTTACTGGATGAAGTAATAACACAAACTTAGAATAATTATATTATAGTGTAGTAAGTGAAGCAAATTATATATAGCAAACTATATACTGCAAAATGGTCTACAGAAGAAAGTAACTAAGGCAACTTGGGAGGGTTAGGAAAGATTTATGTGAAGAAGTAACCCATTAGCTGAACTTTAAAGGATGAGCAAGAGTTATTTAAGCAAGTGGTGGGAAAAGAGAGCAATGATCTTTGAGTACATTTCAGGGACATCATGAGCAAAGAAGAGAAGAAATAAATGATAGATTATCTGCAAAGTATGTATGTAAGCAAGCAGTTCAGTGAGGCAGGGAGTAGAGAAGAAATAGGCTGAAGAGGTACACAGGGAGCAGATAGCTACCTCCTCTGAATGCACCTTATAAGATATGAGAAACAGAGGAGTCAGATTTACATTTAGCTAGATCACTTTGGTCACCAAACGAAGGGAATATTTTCGAGGAAAGGACCAGAGATATGACTACTATTCATCATCATCTTGTTTCAGTAATCCATGCAAGAGATAAAAGGGGCTTGAACAGACAGCACTTTACAATGGGAAACCATTAAAGACAAGCATGAGTAAGATCCCTTGGGCAGGGTATCCAAAATAAAAAGTTTAGTGAACTAAGGGCAGAACTGGGATATGAAAACATTATGAGCAAGTTAAGAAAAAGAATTTACAAAGGAGTCAGAGGAGGACAAATGGAGATGGAAGAAAAACCAAAACTGTGAGACATGATAAGTTCCAACAAGATAAAGACTTCTAAGTTAGAACAAGTAATCAGCCATATCAAAATTAAGTAAAACCTGCACGCAACTAAAGCCTTTAAAATAAAGCCTTTGGATTTCAAGGGTTATTAGTAATATAATGAGTATAGTTTCATTGGAGTTGAGAGAGTGGAGGCCTGAAGGTAGAGCAGTGAAGAGTTGGAAATGGTGGGCGCGAACTAGTGTTTCAAGGAATTTGGACGAAAAAGAGATTATCAAGCTCAGCCAGTGGCAAGCTGGCTATTTGGGAATAGTGAATTAAGGAAACATTTTCTTGGATGAGAGACATTTGAGTATGTTTTCAGTCTGAGGAAAAGATGTTGGCAATATAATACAGGAAAGGTTGATGATAAAGGTAAGGGTAGAGATAACTGGCTATGGAGAAAGTGGAGGAAAACGTGACCTTTCTGAGAACAGGTAGGGGAACTGAAGAGGTAAGGTAATAATAGGCCAGCTGGGATTTAAGGTCACACATTTGTTCTGCATGGTTGTTGTTTTCTCCCGCAATACTCAGTTGTCCCAAGGTAGGCATAGAGAAGGCAGATTAGCATTGAACTTGATGAGTATGGTAAACAAAAAAATGAAGGTACTAAAGAAACTGAGGTTCTGCGAAAGGAGAAGTTCACATGATCAACATGGGAACTCAATCATAATGGGTAAGGGAAGGAAATAGGACAGATACGATAAAATAGATAGATTAAGAAGGTTTCTATGAGGTCAAAAAATACTGGTGAAAGTAACAAAAAGGAGCTGGAAGGATAGAAATGGTCATTAGGAGACCAGAGCCACTCTGAACCTTTTTATATGGTCTGTCAAGTTCCTGGTCTCATGCAAAGCTGGCTTAAAGACTTCAAAGAAATTTAGATTAACTAGGCAAGTCCAAAATTCTTGCCTTCATATAGTTTTATTTGGATCCCCTGTTATCTAAATCTCTAGAAAGGTACAGACTAAATGGCCGTGTAACATGACCATCAGAGGCAACTAGGGACCAGTTACTCTAGATCATCATTTTCTAAGCTGTTTTCTAGCTTCAAGAGAAGTCAATAGATGGTTGCCATTCTACCTTCTAAAGAAAAATGTTTGTGGATAAGAAAGTTTAAGAAACACCAGGTTAAATCCAATAAGGAGGAATTGATTGTGTATTGAAAGACTTCCCAGAGCCTTTAATCAGCTTATGTGCATGGTGAATCTCCAAAAGCAGGGAATGGTCTGTGCTTTCCTGTATTTCCTAGTGATAACACATTTTGGTCCACACACCTCCTTTAATTTGCTGCAGAGCTAGTGGGAAGCACCACACTGGGTTTTCATTGAATAATGATAGCTTTTTATTTTAAATGCTGGCTGCTATGCTCTGAATATTTGTGTTCGCCAAACACTTACACATTGAAATTCTAACCCCCAAGGTGATGGCATTAGGAGGTGAGGCCTTTTGGGAGGTGATTAGGTTGTGAAGGTGGAGCTGTTATGAATGGGATTAATGTCCTTATAAAAGAGGTCCAGAGAACAACCTTGCCCCTTCTACCAAGTAAAGACACAATGGGAAGGTGCCATCTATGAATCAGAAAATGGGCCCTCACGAGGCACTGACTCTGCCTGCTCCTTGCTTTTGGACTTCCCAGCCAACAGAACTGTGAGAAATAAATTTCTGTTGTTTATAAGCTACCCAGTCTATGGTATATTGTTATAGCAGATCGAAATGAATAAGACACTAGCTACTTTAACTTTAACTTTAGCTTTAAATTTTAATTTGAAATAGTGGAGAAATGTAAGTTAGGATAACTATATTATTGTTTTTTTTTTAAATTGTACCAACCTGTTGTTAAATGCTTATAAGAAATATTATATGTATGCTATTAGCTTGCCACTGTCCTGGATGCTGAGAGGTACCAAGCAAGTACATTTGAGTTGCTTCTTAGTGCCAAGTACTGGACTAGGGGGAATAGAAAATGGCAAAAGTATGGGTTGCACACTCAGATTGTTTAGCGATTTTTCCTTTTAGAATTTCTCTTTTGTTCTAACTTACCTCAGGATTTTTGCTATAATATTCTTTCTTCTGAACTCATTTTGGATTTTTTGCACTTTTATTATTGTTGGCATGAATAATACCTATGTCTGTTTTGAATGTGTTCTCTTTTTATTGCCATTTATGTTGTCCTTGTCCTGTATTTCTGTGCCACACAGAAAATAATAGTTCATATTGATATTATCTGGGTCATTTAATAATTTAAATAATTGAACTAAATATACTCAAGTGATTTTTTTTAGACGTCACACTTTCAAGTGTTCCATTCTGTCCTCAAGGTTCATTTCTTCAACCTTGCCATATTTTCAAGTACAACAATATCCCATCTGCAATTTTGTCAGTTTGACATGATCTCCAAAGAGCACCATCCACTCAGGGTCTCATGTTCTTATAAGTATACTCTAATTATCTACATATATTTGTCTTTGAAATCACTTTCCAAAGGTCTTTGGAAAAGTCATCCTGAATTTTCAAGACTGTATATCTCTCCAAAATGTATTTTAAAGTTCTGATTCTCTTAGTAACAAAACTGAAACTTTGCTATTTTTAAGTTATGCTTTTAAATGTTCTTTTCAAAAGCTTGATTAAAATTATGCTGTTAATTGAGATTCATTATTTTCTTCTATTTAATAAGATCGCATCTGAAATTATGTTAAAAATATGGTACTACCTCACTGATTAAGTTCTTGAATATTGTTTTTGTGTGTCACTAAAACACATTGTTGTCACTATTATTGAAAGGGTTTTTAGTACACCAAAGGACCACATTTTGCTAAAAATTCCAATGAAACATGATTCTTATCTATTCAGCATTTTTCAATTATCTCTAATTGATCAGATATTAAATTAAATGTGAATTAAAAGTCAAGGACACTACCCTCCCACCTCCTTAAATCTATAAAAGTAAAACGATTACAAAACTAGGAACTTCAGCCATTTGCCTTGTTAGAATGCTTCTAAAAAATGTGGATTTAAGACAAGCACACACAATAATAAAAACAGAAACAAAACTTAATGTTAGCTGAAATGCTGGCAAAATGAAGCATGGTTATCAATTAGAAATTAAGGTGAGGTTTTTCATGTATGTTCACACTCTTGGATTGTAATCTTTTTGATACGGCATTATTTTTAAAAGTAGAATATAAATGTTTTGTGGGTTTTTATCATGCAGTTCATTTATAATAGCCTTGTGGGTTTTTTAAACATATTTTGCAACACTTTCAAGCCCACAAAATACAATTAAAGCTATCCATGTGTACCAAAAGCCTTTGGAAAGCAAGGTAGGGCACCATTTACTCAAGTTTCTCTATGTAAAGCAGACCACAAGTTGTTGCCTCTCACCTCATCGTCTTGGAGAGAACTGTTCACTTAATTGCTTATTTGCTCCCTTCCTGACCAGTGGGAAAATAACCTTTCTAGGACATTTCTTTGTAGCAACGTGTGATTTGATCTTTCTTTGGTGACCTGGGCCATGCCATCCCAATATGAGAAGCAATAAATTGAAGTCAGATACTTACTGGAATGAAACTCTCATTTTAAGAAGAAATTCAGATCTATTTAGCTTGACCTTGGAACTTGAATTAAATCTTTAGACACTCAACTTTCTCCAGGGAAGTATGAGGTTTATATGAATTTGAGTGTATTAAAGCTAGTCTGGCTCTGATCTATGTACCAAGTTGGTTAATTTTTCATTTAAAGGACAAAGGGTTTCACTGGAACTAATTTAACTGACTTAATTTGTGATATTCACATACCAGTTTATATTCTAAACCAGGAGAGGTTTTTTAAAACCATTAACATGTCATTAAAAAAACATAATATGTTCACTGATTGATGTTTTGAAGGCAGCCTCGGTTGCCTATGGCTGGGGACTTCTGACATGGTTCATTTTTGCCTCTGCTACTAACCAATTGTGTGACCTGATATGAGGTGTTTCACCTTTCTCTGATTCACTCTCTGACTAATAATCAGGTGTTATAATAATTCTCTCTTCTATCTTTCTCAAAGGGTTATACTGAGAATTAATAAGTTAATGGTTACAAAGTACATCAAAATGATCAGTTAAAAGGCAATATGTTAGGACTTTTATGTTATGGAAACATATTTAAAAAAAATTTTTTTAACCAGAGAAGATCACTGCTCTAAGATTTATCAAATGAGTAAATGTGGGGATAAATTGGCTTATTTTGTGATTAATCTCAATGTTTCTGGGTTTGTGGAAATTGAGTTAACAAGACAAAATAATTACATTTGAGCATGACATTCACAATATTTCTTCCTAAATAATTTTCTATATCCTTTACCTTTTCAAAATGTAGCTATTGCCAGAAACTTCTCTTGTTTAACCCTACTCCACCCAATCTCTCTTATACTTTGACCATCACAATTCAATATTTACATTAATTTTATTCTGCATGTGCTTTGTGAGAGTTTTAAAGTCATTTCCTGTGATTATTCTTTTTTCCTATCAGCTTATATACTTTCTATTGTCAGATACTGTGTACTGGCTTACTTTATCTTCTTTGATGCATCTATGACTGGGCCACAGAAACACTTGAGAAATGATATTTGCTAATTATATGCAAATAGGGATGGAAATTGAATTTCATCAGTGGCTCATGTCTCATATTATTTTTTATTTATCTTTATAAAAAACTATATTTCACCATGAGAGAAACCAAATAGCCACTAGTCCCATGGACACTTATAAGTTTACAAGTTTTGTTACATTTAAATTAAACGACATACACTTTGATGCAATCATGTTAGTAGTTACATTGTCAATGAAACACAAAAATATAAAACAAAAAATGATAATTACAGTGACAGCTAAAATTATAGTAATATTTTCCAATGTAAATTTTACTGTCTTAAAAACAATAAAATGCAGAGATATCAGAAAAAACAAACAAGCTTACAAGAGGAGGGAAATGGGGCATAAGGAAGAGAGTGATAGAAACACAATACTACTTTAATCTTCAAAGGATGAATTTGGCATCACATATTCATTTATGAAATAAATAATTAGCATTGTAAGTGTCT
Organism: Homo sapiens; assembly: GCF_000001405.40. Lineage (NCBI taxonomy): Eukaryota > Metazoa > Chordata > Mammalia > Primates > Hominidae > Homo > Homo sapiens. Next base: position 98,373,450 of record NC_000006.12, read on the forward strand.
ATAAAACAAGCTCTCAAGCATTCTTTTCAAAAGGAAGGAAAAGAAGAAAACAAGTTTTAATTCATGCTCAAGTGTGAATGAAAGGGAACTCTTACAACACCTAATATGAGATTTTGGGGGGTCTTGTCTTTTTTAATGTAAATTTGTTTTATTATTAAGATCTTTATAGAACAGAAAACTATTTTGTGTCTAAATATCAAAGAAATATCTCATATAATTTATTTTGCCACCATACACCTTGAGGAATTCTCCAAGAATTAGTTATTTAGTAAAACAACATAAAAGCAGCTTTCAGACAGGAGTATTACTTCCACCTTTCTCTATCCAATTGGCATTTCAAGTCTATCTTCTCTTAAAATGGAGAAATAGTCTCCAAGTCTATGACTGAGCCTGCAGGACAAAGTTTCAAATGCATTTTACTGCCATGATCATTATAAGTTCTAGTAGTGATAAGATGATGATGATAGGTATCTAGGTATTGCAAAATAAGAAACATGAGAACAAGCCTGGGCAACATAGTGAGACTCCATCTCTAAAAAAAAAAATTTTTTTTTTAATTAACCGGGTCTAGTGGTGCATACCTGTCATCCCAGCTATGTGCAAGGCTGAGGCAGGAGGATTGCTTGAGCCCAGGAGTTTGAGGCTGCAGTGAACTCTGATCAGCCCTTCTTCCAGCCTGGGTGACAGAGAGAGATGATGTCTCTCAAAAAAAAAAAAAAAAAAAAAAAAAAAAAGGAAAAGAAATGAAATAAAATGGAGAAAATAAGAAACATTAGTCTTTCATCAACTTTTGTTAACATATTTTCTGAAATGCATTCACTTCATAAACTTTTAAAACATTTTTGTGTAGAATCAGAAAAGCATCATCTTAACTTTCCTTTGTATATGTGTTTGTAATTGCATTCTCCGTTCAAATGGATGTTTTCTCTGTGTTTCAATAAAAAATTGATTAACCAATTTTATTATTTTTTATCCAGAGGGCAAACTTGCTTTTTGACCTATTTGAAAATTCCAGCTTTTTCTAATTTCTGTCAATTTATCTTTTTATTTTATCTCAGTTAATTCCTTCCCTGTCTTTTGCTTGTCTTTCTCTAATTCCTATATATTAATGCTCCAGATTTTTCTGAGAACAGCTGCAGACATGTCCTACAGGTTCTGCCACACAGTATATTAATATAATTTTATTTTATCTGTAGTTTCTAATTTACTTTGTAATTTCTCCTTTTTAAAAAATTCTTGTGTGTTTCTTGATATTTTATATTTTAAATTTTTCAAATTATTGGAAGTTTTTCTTACAATTTCAGTAATAATTTCTCATTTTACAATGTGTAATCATAGAATGTAGTCAAAATTAACTAAACATATTTTTATTGTGGTTTACTGTATGACCTAATATTAAGTAATATACATAATTTGAAGTGTACAACTTCCTCTATCACATTAATTTTATTTAGATCTCATTGTACTTATTTTTATTCTACTTAGTTTGTTAAAGGCTGAGGTGTGTTCTTATAATCCTGATGATTTTTACTCTATACATTGTGATGCTATGTTATTTGTCACATCTTTGTTACAGTTGTGTTTTTGTTGTGACTTATACTTTCTATCATTACACAGTTAGTCTTTTATAATGCATTTTGCATTTATTTAAGCCATTTAATGTTGAGATCCTAGCTTTTTTTCTCCCTCTTCCTTTCTTTCTCCTTCCCTCTGTTTTCTTCCCTGCAATTCTTTTACTTTCCACCCATCTGATATGTGTCTGTTAGTTATGTGTCTTATACATTGCATAAAGTTGAATTATATTATGCTATCCAGTAAGACCCTTTTTGTAGGTAAATGCATCTCATTTATATTTTACTGTCTTAGTTTATTATTTTATGAAATAATTTTTGTTGTTCTTTTTCAGCCTCCCTTACATCCCTTAGCTTTTTAAGTATCTACAAGGATTATTATTCTTTGACTGATTATATTTTAACACTTGGAAGAGCATAAATAAAATAAACTTGCTTAACATCTTTTTCTTGAATGAATAAGAGGAATGAATAGAACTCTATTTAGTGATGTAACTCTTTTCTATTATAGATCCTCACTTTGATTAAACTTACTTCTTTTCCAATAACCTTACGTAAAGAAAATGAGTAGCCCGGGGTGGGCGCAGTGGCTCACACCTGTAATCCTAGCTCTTTGGGAGACCGAGGTGGGTGGATCCTGAGGTCAGGAGTTTGATACCAGCCTGACCAACATGATGAGACCCTGTCTCTACTGAAAATACAAAAATTAGCCAGGGGTGGTGGCACGCACCTGTAATCCTCGCTACTCAGGAGGCTGAGGCAGGAGAATTGCTTGAACCCGGGAGGTGGATGTTGCAGTGAGCTGAGATCGCACCACTGCACTCCAGCCTGCGCAACAGAGTGAGATTCCATCTCAAAAAAAAAAAAAAAGAAGAAGAAAGAAAGAAAGAAAGAAGAAAGAAAGAAAGAAAGAAAGAAAGAAAGAAAGAAAGAAAGAAAGAAAAGAAAGAAAGAAAAAGAAAATAAGATGAGTAGCCTTACGTTTTCTTCCATCTTCCCTCCCTGACAATGTTCCACTTTTGCTTTGGTGTATTATTATTACTTTTTTAATGTCAAGGTTTCTATTTAGCTATTTACCCATAATTTCTAATAGTTATTTCACACCACAGCTTACTTGTCAAATTTTTATTGATTCATGGATGCATATGATCACTAATTAGTTCTTTTCAAAAGACCTCTGGTTTCCTTATCTCTTGGATTCTTGCAGGTTTTGGAACATCTTTCTGTTGCTTTTATGCTTATACCTCAATTTGATAGGCCATAAAACTCTTCAGTCAATTTTTATTTTTTTCTTGTAGTGTGCTGTGAACATTTAATCATTGTTTTTGGAAATATAATGTGCTTGTAGTCACTTCTGGTCACCTTTATTATGAGTTATTTAATATTTCTGGTCATTTTCCCATAGGATTATTTTTCTACTAACTTTGCAGCTAAGTACATTTATTAAAATATATATGTTGTTGGCTGTTCTAAATACATGCTCTTTCCCCTGAAATATCAGTTTCTATTTTCTATCCAACTTTTGGAGAAGTTTTCTTTGATTATTACTTTGGCTGTTTATTTTTCTCCTACTTGTTTTTATCTGTTTTTTAGAAACACAAATATGTATACATAAGATATTAACTTTCTTCAATATCCATTATGCTCCTCTTTAATCCTCTTTTTTCCTCCTTTTCTTTTACATTCTGTCTTATGTAATTTTTTCAGGCATGAGTTAATGACTCTGTTTGCAGCAGTATCTATTCTGCTTCTTTAAGCTTCATTTTGCAGTCTTAATGTATTTATTTATTTATTTTTAATATTTTAACTTTTATTTTAGGTTCAGGGGTACATGTGCAGGTTTGTTATATAGTAAACTCATGACTCAGGGGTTTGCTGTACAGATTATTTCATCACCTGGGTACCAAGCATAGTACCTGACTCTTTCTTTTTTTCTCTGAATCTCTGTCTCCTCCCAACCTCCTCACTCAAGTAGGCCCCAGTGTCTGTTGTTCCCCTTTCCGTGTCCATTTGTTCTCATTATTTAGCTCTCACTTAAAAGTGAAAATATACAGTATTTGGTTTTCTGTTCCTCCATTAGTTTGCTAAGGATAATGGCCTCCAGTCCACCCATGTTACTGCAAAGGACATGATCTCATTTTTTATGGCTGCATAGTATTCTATGGTGTATATGTACTACATTTTTAATCCAGTCTACCACTGATGGGCAGTTAGGTTAATTCCATGTCTTTGCTATTGTGAATAGTGCTGCAATGAACATATGCCTACATGTGTCTTTATGGTAGAATTATTTATATTTCTTTGGGTATATATCCAGTAATGGGATTGCTGGATCAAATGGCAGTTCTGTTTTCAGTTCTTTGAAGAATCACTACACTGCTATCCAGAATGGTTGAACTAATTTGCACTCCCAGTAGTAGTAGATAAGCATTCCCTTTTCTCTACAACCTCACCAACATCTGTTATTTTTTTTTTTTTGACTTTTTAATAATAGCCATTCTGCCTGGTGTGAGATGGTATCTTATTGTGGGTTTGATTTGCCTTTTGCTAATAATCCATAATGTTGAGGTTCTTTTCATATGATTGTTGGCAGCATGTATGTCTTCTTTTGAAAAGTGTCTATTCACACCCTTTATCTACTTTTTAATGGTGCTTTTTTACGCTTGTACATTTGTTTAAGTTCTATATAGATTCTGAATTTTAGATCTTTGTTAGATACATAGTTTGCAAATATTTTCTCCCTTTCTGTAGGCTGCCTGTTTACTCCATTTATAGTTTCTTTTGCTGTGCAGAAGCAGCTCTTTAATTAGGTCTCATTTGTCAATTTTTTGTTTTGTTGCAATTGCTTTTGGTGTTTTCATCATGAGATCTTTGCCACTTCCTGTGTCCAAAATGGTATTTCCTAAGTTATGTTTCAGGGTTTTTATAGTTTTAGGTTTTACATTTAGCTCTTTAATCTATCTTGAGTTGATTTTTTATATGGTGTAAGGAAGGGGTCCAGTTTCAATCTTCTGCGTATAGCTAGTCAGTTATCCCAGCATCATTTATTGAATAGGGAGTCCTTTTCCCATTGCTTTTTTTCAGCTTTGCCAAAGGTCAGATGGTTGTAAGTGCATGGCTTTATTTCTGAGCTCTCTATTCTGTTCCGTTGGTCTATGTGTCTGTTTTTGCACCAGTACCATGCTGTTTTGGTTACTGTGGCTTTGTAAGTACACTTTGAAGTCTGGCAATGTGATTCCTCCAGCTTTGTTCTTTTTGCTTAGGATTGCATTGGCTATTCGGGCTCTCTTTTTGTTCCATATGAACTTTAGAATACTTTTTTCTAGTTCTGTGAAGAATGTCATTGGTAGTTTGATAGCATTGAATCCATAAATTGCTTGGAGTAATATGGTCATTTTAATGATATTGATTCTTCCGTTCCATGAGCATGGAATGTTATTTCATTTGTTTGTGTCACCCTGATTTCTCTGAGCAGTGTTTTGTAATTCTTATTGTAGAGTTCTTTCACCTCCCTGCTTAGTTGTATTCCTAGGTATTTTATTCTTGTATCGCTAGGTATTTTATTCTTTTTGTGGCTGTTGTGAATGGGGTTGTGTTCCTGGTTTGACTCTTGGCTTGGCTGTTGTTGGTGTATAGGAGTGCTAGTAATTTTTGTACATTGATTTTGTATCCTGAGACTTTGCTGAAGTTGTTTATCAGCTTAAGGATCTTTTGGGCCAGGACTATGAGATTTTCTACATATAGAATCATGTCGTCTGTTAACAGGGACAGTTTGACCTCCTCTCTCCGTATTTTGATGCCTTTTATTTCTTTCTCTTGCCTTATTGCTCTGGCCAGGACTTTCAACATTATGTTGAATAGGAGCAGTGGTGAGAGAGGGCATCCTTGTCTTGTGCAAGTTTTCAAGGGGGAAACTTTCAGCTTTTGCCCATTCAGTATAATGTTAGCTATGGGTTTGTCACAGATGGCTCTTATTATTTTGAAGTATGCTCCTTTAATGCCTAGCTTATTGAGGGTTATGACATGAAGGGATGTGAAATTTTATCAAAAGCCTTTTCTGCATCTATTGTGATAATCATGTCTTTTTTTATCTGTAGTTCTGTTTATGTGATAAATCACATTTATGCAGTCTTAATTTATAAAATGGGTGTACTGTTGACTGAGTTTCTCTTCGGAGCTCTATCAGCTTATGTGTTACATTCTTCTAGTGTATTTTCATTGATTCTTTCTGCTCTTGTTTCTCAGGCTTTTTTCAGCACTAATGTGTTTCTTTAAATTTATTACAACAAAAAGGAATATTTGTCTGAAGTGTATTATTTGTTTTATTCTCTCCCTTCTTTTTGATGATATGTTTACAGTATCACCTGTGAAGTTCTTGAGTGTTAGTCCTTTTTGAAAGGGGCAGCTCTATCTAAGCCTACTATTATCTCAAGAATAATGTGGGAGAAATGGGAAAACTGGGTTGAGTTGAGAAGCAGCTGTATGTAGAAATATGTGTGTGTATTAGTAATTCATGGTTTCTTTAACTGCTTTCCCTCTAAGCCCTTTCTCAAAATCCAATTTTAAGAGAAAATATTCATCACTCATCTTTGCAAAATTTTACACCTACATTTTTTGTTAATGTGTTAATACTATTTGAGTCAACTAAACACATTTTGGACACGTATCTATAAGCTCATCTATGCTCTATTTCATGTTTCCATAATTTTGCGACTTAAAGGAAAACAATACTGACCGGGTCCCATTAGACCTGGGTTCTAGATACAGCTTTGCCTAAAATATTTTTTAGTTTTATAAAATTATTTAAATTCTTTATATCTCAGATTCCTAATAAATTCAGTTAAGACAATCATTAATTCTTTACACATGGAAATCTCTTCATACTAGAAAAGAGAGTAATGACACAGAAAGTGACTAAAGTCATTGGAAAGATTTTTGTCCAATTTATAATGATAATTTCAACAAAATAAATGAAAATAAACAAAATTTTATTTACATATTTAAAAAATGTTGTGCTCAGAAAAAAATGTAGGTATGTTTTCCTCACTTATTGCTGTCTATATGTCTGGGGAATGCCCTACCACAGAGGGTATCATTAGAGTGAGAAAGCTTTGTTAAAGTCTCTTGTATTTTCTCCATAGAGATTTATCCTTTATGGAGGAGAATCAAAGTAAATCAACCATTGTGTTTTTTTTTATTACAACACTAATCTTTTTTTCTGAAATGAATATTGATATCAACATTCATAGAAAAGTTACATATTACCAAATAATAAGTTTTGGTATTAAAAACAGTCTATTACTTGGAATTCTTTGCCTCAAACTGTAACTGTCTCCACGTTTCATTATGAAATGTCTTGCAGTATCTGGCATATGATTAAAAAATATATAGGATATATACTTTTTAAAACTCAGAGAAAAGACAACTAATAAAAGAGCTGCATTTTAACCAAAAGCTATCAGAGAGGGAAATTACAAAAGAAAACCCATAATTTGATAGGAAAAAAGGATAAGAAAAAGCAGAGCAATTCTGATAGGTCACTTTCTCATACACAAGCATTTAGTCTAAGGTAATCTTCCAGGACTGTCAGATTTGATTGAAAGATAATGTAAGATTTTTTTCTTGCCACAATTTATAGCACGTATCCATTAGGAATAATTATGGTTGCATGATTTTGCTAGCTGTTATCTCTACAAGTGTTACTAATGGTTTTATCAATTACTCCCTGTCCAATAACTGCATGGTTGTAACCTAATTTAAAGACACTCTATCACCAGGCTGATTTGTGTAGTAGTAAATGACAGCATTTGAGACACCAGCCAAATGACTCACTTCAGTGACTTAGTTAGTCTCTAATAATTAACAATTAGTAGGTACCTAGAGAAAGCTCAAGAGACTGGAGCTCCCACGTTTCTCTTTCTTATCTAAATACAAGAAGTTAGAAAGACTTCGGTGATTCATATTAATAAAATTAAAGGCCTCTATGGGTTTAGAGAACATGTGTATGTAAGAACTGTTAATAATTTATATTTAAAATACAATAAATTAGGGGTGATACATGTTGATAGGTTATGTTTTATTGCATTGCAGTGGGTAGATACTCCAAGACCCACGTAGAAAAATTACTATTTTTTTCCAGTCGTGTTAGTGCTTTGGTTCAAAAGTACAGTCAGTGTGCTAAAAGGGGAATAGTGTTGGCAAACTTGTGCTATTTCTTGAACTTTAAAGGGAAAATGCTGGATGTGCAAAAAGAAGTACTTCATTACAGATCATTAGTGGGGACTTTATGATACAGCTGAAGGCTCAGAAAGGTATTGCCTGCTTAGAACTAGCTGGGAAGATATTTGAAATCCTTTCTTTTTAATTTAATGAATGTAAAGGAAGATTTTTTTCTTTAAAGATGTTATCTCTAAGATTTCTTAAAAAGAAACCACCCCATTTTGAAAGGCTAAGTAAGAGTCTGAATTTCAAGTCTTAAGTGGGCTACATTTTCCAAAGTAGTTTGGCGTCTCAGGGTGAAAGATAGTGAAACGTAAATAGCGAATTCATGGAGTGACCAGGGTTTTGCCCTGTGCTGCTCTTCTGCAGAGTATATCAGTACGTTTAGTTCTACTCTGATAAGGCCCAGTTGCTTTGGGATAATTAATCAGTTAGGTTATTTTGTCAGACTTTAGTACTTTAAGATTTTCTGATTAACGATGAATTTAAGATAATCATTTAAAGATGAGTTGATCAAGCAGAATGATCAAAAGCTATATTCAACCCCATGATGACATTCTCAGTGTTACTAGTAAATTCCAACCTATAGAGAAACATGGGCACTGTGCTTCATTCTCTATCAGGTGAGTCTCAGTAGTCCCTTGAGGAATAGGTAAGCAGAGCCAGCTGCAAAGATTTATTACTGCCTTGGAGTTTTAGGAATGCTAGGGAAAGTAGTCTTTAAAAAAAACTTTCACACCTACAAGCAAGCCTATTCTGATGATGGCACTTCTCTATAGAGAGTCACAGCTAATGAACAGATGTTCTTTTATAAGTTCTGATGGACATTTGTAACCCCAGTTTCTTTGGCTTGCTCCACAAATAGGCTGAGGAGCCAAATGTGCAAACAAGCTGAAAGCCCAGGACCCCAGCCACTCCCTGCTAGTATCATTCCTTGCACATATGTTTATGTCACTATTTTGTACTAATCACAAAAGAAATCAGTGGAAAGGAAGAAAATGAATTACCAAGTATCTGATCATCTCCTGAATAAGATCACAATGGCCAATTTGCAGAAATGGGTTTCTCTAATTTTCCCTTGTGGTGGTGATGAGGTTATGAAATAGTCGTAATAGCACAAGAACTGCCCTCTCTGGAAGCTGCTAAGAAAACTCCAACCATAATAGAAGGGCAAAGACTCGTGGTGTTTCTTACAATGGAGTTGAAGCCCCACCCCTCTTTACCCAGTCATATTTGCATATTCTTTTGAAAACCACACATTGAGTATCTATAGCCCCAGCTGATGTCATCGGGCACAGCATGCAGCCACTAGAAGTGGGACAATTATAATTTTTGTAGCTGATTAATCATCATGAAAAAGTAACAGTCAATTGACTCAATCATACATCCATGGTGATTAATCACACTTCACTTGTGTTTTTTTCCCCCAAGTATTTTACTGACAGTGCAGATGTTGGTTGATTTTCTCCCTTAGCCTTTTCCTTGGTCACAGATGTTAAGTAATCACCTTGTCCTGATATTTGACTTATCCATAATCTTCAGTATTACAAGTCCTTAAAAGAAAATGTGCTCTTTTCTTAGAAATCAAATGGTAACATAGTTATTACCTTTAAAAAACAGGTTAATCAATATATAAAGTAGCTATAATTGTACTCTGTAATCACAAATGCTTTTTTTTTAATAATAATGCTACTCCCCCATTTGTTCCCCGATGACATGATTACTGATAAAACATCGAGAAAGAGAGCTGTTGTTTTTTTTTTCTTCTCCTCCTGGAGTGTTAATAGCTCAATTTCATTTATATTTCATCCAAAACTAGATATTCTAATCCAGATTCATAAAAGGCCTCACCTGGTTGCATTTCACTTCTGGGCAGACATAATATACTCCTGAAAATAAAACAGACATTGTACCATGCTCTCACCTCAGTACAATACTATTTGAGACTTCTCGGTCACTGGCCCATAAGAGAAGCTGAAATGACTCTACTACTGCCCTATTTATAAAATTGTCACATATGAATTGTTGATATTTAAGAAGCAATCACAAACACACTAATCTGTTGGTAAAAGAGCAATATTCAAAGAATATTTGAAATGATTATGAGTCAATTAAATCACTTTTAGGCACAAGTGAAGACCTAGTTTGTATTCAAGGCAACAGAAATGGTTCACTTCAGCTTCTTTTGTAGAAGTGGGATTAGTGGGTGAGGTGTGTCGAAGATATGCTGCAGTCAAGCCCTGGCTGACAGACTTGCCTGTCTAATTTCTCAAATGGAAATGCCTGATCCTGAGGGAGAAGCAAGGTGGCTGTCACAAAGTCAAGTCCCACTCCCAGCCCCCAAGACTGGCTTCCATGATTTTAGACTCTCCAATCTTAGAAAGAGGTATCATCCCCCCAATGCTGACCTTTAGATAATCTTTGAGATCATTTCCCATGTGAAAAATTGCTTTCATGCCAAGATAACACAGCAGTATTGGGTTCTGTCCTAGACGACTGTCTTGATACTGTTAATAAAGAGCCTTGGGTTGGATATAATTGTTAATAAACTAATTCTAAAAATCCACTCAAACGTCACTTATAATCAGGATTTTCTGCTGGGCTAGGACCCCTGGGGAAACCTTTGAAGCTGTGAATCTTGTATGCACTGGCAGGGATGAACATAAGAAGGTAGAGAGTCACCATTGCTTCATAGCTTAGTTGTTTAAAATGATCACGTATGATGAAGCTCAGAACTACTTGCAGCTGTGAGAACCAGAAAAGAAAGTGAGGGATAGAGAAGAGAACCAGTAGGAAGCTCTCCAACTAAACCCAGTCCTCTTTGGATGTGCCAGAAGGAGAGGTGAAAAGATGTGATTACTTGTAATTTATAGCAGGAACATCAAGGCACAGAAGATAATATAAAAGCATTTCAGTGGGAAGATACCCATGACATGAAACTGTTTAAAACAATTAATCAAAAAAGCCTAATTATTCAATTAGATGGATAAATGAATCTTCTTAAAAGTGGATATGCAAAAAAAGTGATGATGAAATCTTTTAAAGGGAAATGAGTGTAACAAATCAGCTAAATATGATCTCTAAAAAAATTCTGAATAATAAGTCAGTGATTATGTTTTAATTGGGCTTTAGCTTTATTATAATTGAGGACACTCATTATCTTGTTTTATTGTATTTATGATTTTAATATTCATACCATTTGGTACTTTATCTTTGTATACTTTCTGCCAGTGCTTGTTGCACTTCCTGGCTGATTAGTGCCTGGGTCCGTGTGAAGTGAATACAGATGTCTCAATAATGATCGGCAGGACGTTGGGCTGATTTTCAGTGTTTGAAGGTCTCCTATAAAGTCGTCCTTTGTGCAGTTGTAAGGGTTATTTTTTCCGTTCTTTTTTTTTTTCTCTCTCTCTTTCTCAACGTGAACAGCTCTGTTGGTAAGAATCATCTAACAGGAAACTGTTTTTTGCTCTGAAGGAGATCAAGAGAACTCGTTTTGGGGTATGATAAGTGTTTCTAAAATAACAACTTATAATGCATATTTATCCTTTCTTAGGAAAAACATGCTTTATGCAAAGAGTAACATCTAACTGATAATTCAAGCTCTTTATCTCAGGGTAAAACGGAGAGCAAAACAGAGCTCCTATGCTTGTAACTTCCAGGCGATCGGATAAGCCACTCTTTGTTCATAGAACAGGGCAGTTCAGCCAAAGATTATTTCCAAGTTTTTGTCAATCACTTCTCCCTGTAAAAGGTGCACACATGGCTGATTGCTTACACACTCAAAATCAGCCAAAAGGTGCAGTCAGAATGAGTCGGCAATAGTACAGCTGCCTTATATGTAAAGAGCTTTAAATGAGCCTTTGAGAAGCAAAGGGGTTAGCCGTTTAGTTCTTATGCATGGGATTTTTGTGAACCCAAGTGGCATATGCGAGTATTTAATTTATTTTTCAAATCTTTCAAGTAAGTCAGTGGTGAGAATTGTATTAAGGTTTTATCTAAGTCCATAGTTTTGCTGCTGATTATGTTGAGATTGAGGTAAATATAATAGATGGACTCTATTTTGATGCGTTGCCAGATAATTGCATATTTTCTAGTCAATCCTCCTCTTAGAAAAATACTGAATGAATCAAAAACAAAATAAATAATGAATTAATTAATTTAAAGTGGAAAGCTAGTGCACGCACACATACACAGCTTATGAAATTCTGAGATCTCTAGCTGGCCTTATCATTTCTCTAAATGCAGCAATGAAAATCATTGAAAACTTGGGCAGAACTCTTTACTGACAAAATTTCAAGATCATATTTTTTAAAAGAATATTTTAAAATATTTTAATATTATTATGACTTCTACTTTTAGATCGAAGTGTATGTTTTCTGACTTGCTTTCTGAATAGCACTTAGGCAAGTGCTCATATTTTAGGGCACGAACTCTCAACTTCAGCATTATTGACCTTTAGAGCCAAATAAATCTTTGTTATAAGGGGCTGTTTGCTCACACTGTAAGGTGTTTAGCATCTCTGGACCTACCCTCTCGATACCAGTAGCTCCAGCCCCGAGTTGGGACAACAAAAAAATGGCATAGATACTGCCAAATATCCCTTGGGTTAAAATCACTCCTGGTTGACAAACATTGTCTTAAAGTCTTAGCCTACAGCAAGTAAAACATTCTTAAAACAAAGATAGCCCACAGTAATACAGTAATGGACAATTATAAAAGGGAGCTATCGATCACATACACTCTAATTTGAAAATTGGGAAGTGTCGCTTGATTTTCAGCTTAGTTTTCTGGTATTAATCAATATTATCATCCATAACATTTTTAAAGATTTTATAGCGATGAAGAAGAAATGTTATAAGAAGTTTTGATGTTTAACACAAGAAAATTGGAATATTATTAACATATCTATACTAATATATATGTTAATATGTATTATAATAATATATATTATAATATTATATTATGCATATTTTTTCCTAAGAGGAAATATAGATATATTTTTTTTTCCTAAGAGGAGGCTTGATTAGAAAATATGCATTTTTCTGTCAATGGGGCAAAACAGAGTCCATACCTTTTATTTACCATTTAATCTCAACATAATCAGTAGCAAAACTATGGACCTGAATAAAACCTAAATACAATTCTCACTACTGACTTATTTGAAAGATTTGAAAATTAAATCAAATACTCACATATGCCACTTGAGTTCACAAAAATGTCATATAAATATTCTATATATAGAATATATGTAATATTCTATACATAGAAGATATATCTCTCATGTCTTCTATGTATGGAAGATATATAAATTAATATATTTAACATATAATATTAATTATATTAATATTATATATTAAGAAAAATAATATCCTAATTATATAATTATATCATAAATATATAATTTATATACAATAATATATAAATTAATATTATATATCTTCTATATTCATAACATATAAAATATATTATATCATATTATATATTATATTTATGTTATATACTCTAAATTTTATATTTATAATGCATTTATAATATATGTATAATATATTTATATAATATTAATATTTATAATATAGAATATATAGATGTATTATATGATATATTAGAATCTATATTGTACTATAAAATATGTAATATATTAGAGTATTATTACAGAATATATAGTGTATGATATATTATAAAATGTATTTTTATATTATATATTATTTAACATATTTAAGCATAATATAATATATAGTATAAAATAGTATAAACATTATTTTTGTATACTATTATTTAGAATATAATAGTAATGATAGCGACAACAATGTTAGTATCAAGCACAGTGCTAAGAAGACTTTCATTCATCTACTCATTGAGGTTATTTTACTGTGAACAGTTTTTGGGGGTAACAAGCCTAAGTTAACTTGATTAAAGCTTATTCCCTGCTCTTTTGCTGGTTTGATGAGTAGCAGCCATGTAACAGATTCATTGGCACCGTCTTTCAAGGTCAAGTGTATCTGGGTTCTTGGATCAACATCAGATGTTTTGTTGGGTACAATGACTTAAGTGTTTCCATTTTAAAGGTGTAAAGATGAAGCTATTTAACTGGAGATTCAGGAAGCAAAGACGTCATTTTCTTTTTAATTTTTTATTTGAATAGCTTTAGGGGTACATGTAGTTTTTAGTTACATGGATTAATTGTATATTGGTGAAGTCTGGGCTTTTAGTGTACCTATCAGCCAAATAGTGTACATTGTACCCAATGCTTGATTTTTTCATCCCTCATTGCCTTCCATCCTCCCTCTTTGAGTATTCAATGTCTATTATACCACTCTATATGACTTTGTATACACATAGCTAGCTCCCACTTATGTGAGAACATGTGGTATTTGGTTTTCTATTCCTGAGTGATTTTGCTTAGGATAATGGCCTTCAGTTCCAGCCAACTTGCTGCAAAAGACATTTCATTCCTTTTTATGGCTGAGTAGTATTTTATTTTATATATATATAATATATAATATTATATATTATTAATTATATAATAATATATTCTATATATTAGATATATTTATTAGATATATTTATTATATATAATATATATTAAATTTAAATATATAAATTTAATTATATATTTATATAATATATAAAATATAAATATAATATAATATATATTATATATATTATAAATATATAATTATATATATTATATATAATATATTATATATAATAATACATATATATATATCTCAATCACATTTTCCCTATTCACTTATCAGTTGATGGACACTTAGGTTGATTCTATATCTTTGCAATTGTGAATTATGCTGCAATAAATATATGCATGCAGGTTTTTTTTTGATATAATGACTTCCTTTCCTTCAGATAGATACGCTGTAGTGAGATTGCTGGATTGAATGGTAGATCTACTTTTAGTTCTTCAAGAAATCTCCACACTGTACTAATTTACATTCCCACCAGCAGTGCATAAGAGTTCCCTTTCATATCCATGCTAACATGTATTTTTTTTCACTTTTTAATAATGGCCATTCTGGTTGGGGTAAGATGGTATCTCATTGTGGTTTTAATTTGCATTTCCTTGATAATTATCTATGTGGAACATTTTTTTCATATGTTTGTTGGATGTTTGTATATCTTCTTTGGATAAATGTCTGTTCATGTCATTTGTCCACTTTTTAATGGAATTGTTTTTTTTTTTTTCTTGATGATTTGTTAGAGTTCCTTGTAGATTCTGGACATTACTCCTGCATCAGCTGCATAGTGTGCAAATGTTTTCTCCCATTCTGTAGGTTTTTTGTTTACTCCATTAATTATTCCTTTTGATGTGCAGAAGCATTTTAGTTTAATTATCTCCCATTTATTTATTTTCCTTTTTGTTTTCTTTGCCTTTGATGTCTTAGTCATAAATTCTTTGCCTAGGCCAATGCCCAGAAAAGTTTTTCCTAGGTTTTCTTCTAGAATTTTTATGGTTTCAGGTCTTGATTTAAGTCTTTAATTCATCTTAAGTTAATCTTTGTATGTAATAAAAGATAGGGATCCAATTTCATTGTGGCTGTAGGATTCACAATTTCACATGTGACTATCCAATATGTGTCTACTTTTATACCAGTACCATACTGTTTTGGTTACTATAACCTTGTAGTATAATTTGAAGTCAGGTAATATGATGTCTCCACATCCATTCCTTTTGCTTAGACTTGCTTTGGCTATTTGAACTCTTTGTTGGTTCCATATAATTTTAGAATCTTTTTTTCTTCTTGCAAAGACATTATTAAAGAAAAAATAAGATGTCCCTGTATGTGATTTTGCAGTTAGTATACACATGTATATCACTAGTTACAAGGAACACAGCACAGATATGATTTCTACTTTACCAGTGTTGGCTCAAATCTTTCCATTAAGGGAGAGAACCAAAGGCATGCAGTGCTGGCTTCCATTATGTCATCTTTATGTACCCATACAAATTCTCAGCAGAACCAATAACTCTGAAAGAAAACGTGTCTCCTCAAAACCTCTTAATTTTCTTAATCTGCTTTAAAAGGTAGCACATTTTCTTTAACTTTTTTGACGCTGCTGTTAGGATTTTTCTTTCATCTAGCTGAGTATTTTAAAAATTCTTTTTTTTTCTATTTTTTCTTTTTATTTTATTATTATTATACTTTAAGTTTTAGGGTACATGTGCACAACGTGCAGGTTAGTTACATATGTATACATGTGCTTTGCTGGTGTGCTGCACCCATCAACTCGTCATTTAGCATTAGGTATATCTCCTAATGCTATCCCTCCCCACTCCCCCCACCCCACAGCAGTCCCCAGAGTGTGATGTTCCCCTTCCTGAGTCCATGTGTTCTCATTGTTCAGTTCCCACCTATGAGTGAGAACATGCGGTGTTTGGTTTTTTGTCCTTGCGATAGTTTACTGAGAATGATGATTTCCAATTTCATCCATGTCCCTACAAAGGACATGAACTCATCATTTTTTATGGCTGCACAGTATTCCATGGTGTATATGTGCCACATTTTCTTAATCCAGTCTATCATTGTTGGACATTTGGGTTGGTTCCAAGTCTTTGCTATTGTGAATAGTGCCGCAGTAAACATACGTGTGCATGTGTCTTTATAGCAGCATGATTTATAGTCCTTTGGGTATATACCCAGTAATGGGATGGATGGGTCAAATGGTATTTCTAGTTCTAGATCCCTGAGGAATTGCCACACTGACTTCCACAATGGTTCAACTAGTTTACAGTCCCACCAACAGTGTAAAAGTGTTCCTATGTCTCCACATCCTCTCCAGCACCTGTTGTTTCCTGACTTTTTAATGATTGCCTGGTGTGAGACGGTATCTATTGTGGTTTTGATTTGCATTTCTCTGATGGCCAGTGATGGTGAGCATTTTTTCATGTGTTTTTTTGGCTGCATAAATGTCTTCTTTTGAGAAGTGTCTGTTCATGTCTTTCACCCACTTTTTGATGGGGTTGTTTGTTTTTTTCTTGTAAATTTGTTTGAGTTCATTGTAGATGCTGGATATTAGCCCTTTGTCAGAGGAGTAGGTTGCGAAAATTTTCTCCCATTTTGTAGGTTGCCTGTTCACTCTGATGGTCGTTTCTTTTGCTGTGCAGAAGCTCTTTAGTTTAATTAGATCCCATTTATCAATTTTGGCTTTTGTTGCCATTGCTTTTGGTGTTTTAGACATGAAGTCCTTGCCCATGCCTATGCCCTGAATGGTAATGCCTAGGTTTTCTTCTAGGGTTTTTATGGTTTTCAGTCTAATGATTAAGTCTTTAATCCATCTTGAATTAATTTTTGTATAAGGTGGAAGGAAGGGATCCAGTTTCAGCTTTCTACATATGGCTAGCCAGTTTTCCCAGCACCATTTATTAAATAGGGATTTCTTCCCCCATTTCTTGTTTTTGTCAGGTTTGTCAAAGATCAGATAGTTGTAGATATGTGGCATTATTTCTGAGGGCTCTGTTCTGTTCTGTTGGTCTATATCTCTGTTTTGGTACCAGTACCATGCTGTTTTGGTTACTGTAGCCTTGTAGTATAGTTTGAAGTCAGGTAGCGTGATGCCTCCAGCTTTATTCTTTTGGCTTAGGATTGACTTGGCAATGCGGGCTCTTTTTTGGTTCCATATGAACTTTAAAGTAGTTTTTTCCAATTCTGTGAAGAAAGTCATTGGTAGCTTGATGGGGATGGCATTGAATCTATAAATTACCTTGGGCATTATGGCCATTTTCACAATATTGATTCTTCCTATCCGTGAGCATGGAATGTTCTTCCATTTGTTTATATCCTCTTTTATTTCATTGAGCAGTGGTTTGTAGTTCTCCTTGAAGAGGTCCTTCATGTCCCTTGTAAGTTGGATTCCTAGGTATTTTATTCTCTTTGAAGCAATTGTGAATGGGAGTTCACTCGTGATTTGGCTCTCTCTTTGTCTGTTATCGGTGTATAAGAATGCTTGTGATGTTTGTACATTGATTTTGTATCCTGAGACTTTGCTGAAGTTGCTTATCAGCTTAAGGAGATTTTGGGCTGAGACAATGGGGTTTTCTAGATATACAGTCATGTCATCTGCAAACAGGGACAATTTGACTTCCTCTTTTCCTAATTGAATACCCTTTATTTCCTTCTCCTGCCTAATTGCCCTGGCCAGAACTTCCAACACTACATTGAATAGGAGTGGTGAGAGAGGGCATCTGTGTCTTGTGCCAGTTTTCAAAGGGAATGCTTCCAGTTTTTGCCCATTCAGTATGATATTGGCTGTGGGTTTGTCATAGATAGCTCTTATTATTTTGAGATATGTCCCATCAATACCTAATTTATTGAGAGTTTTTAGCATGAAGCGTTGTTGAAACAGGGTCTGGAGTGGACCTCTAGCAAACTCCAACAGACCTGCAGCTGAGGGTCCTGTCTGTTAGAAGGAAAACTAACAAACAGAAAGGACGTCTGCACCAAAAACCCATCTGTACATCACCATCATCAAAGACCAAAATTAGATAAAACCACAAAGACGGGGAAAAAAAGAGAGCAGAAAAACTGGAAACTCTAAAAAGCAGAGCACCTCTCTTCCTCCAAAAGAACGCAGTTCCTAACCAGCAATGGAACAAAGCTGGTTGGAGTACGACTTTGACGAGTTGAGAGAAGAAGGCTTCAGAAGATCAAACTACTCCGAGCTACAGGAGGAAATTCAAACCAAAGGCAAAGAAGTTAAAAACTTTGAAAAAAATTTAGACGAATGTATAACTAGAATAACCAATACAGAGAAGTGCTTAAAGGAGCTGATGGAGCTGAAAGCCAAGGCTCGAGAACTACGTGAAGAATGCAGAAGCCTCAGGAGCCAATAGGATCAACTGAAAGAAAGGGTATCAGTGATGGAAGATGAAATAAATGACATGAAGCAAGAAGGGAAGTTTAGAGAAAAAAGAATAAAAAGAAACGAACAAAGCTTCCAAGAAATATGGGACTATGTGAAAAGACCAAATCTACGTCTGATTGCTGTACCTGAAAGTGACAGAGAGAATGGAACCAAGTTGGAAAACATGCTGCAGGATATTATCCAGGAGAACTTCCCCAATCTAGCAAGGCAGGCCAACATTCAGATTCAGGAAATACAGAGAACGCCACAAAGATACTCCTCGAGAAGAGCAACTCCAAGACACATAATTGTCAGATTCACCAAAGTTGAAATGAAGGAAAAAATGTTAAGGGCAGCCAGAGAGAAAGGTCGGGTTACCCTCAAAGGGAAGCCCATCAGACTAACAGTGGATCTCTCAGCAGAAACTCTACAAGCCAGAAGAGAGTGGGGGCCAATATTCAACATTCTTAAAGAAAAGAATTTTCAATCCAGAATTTCATATCCAGCCAAACTAAGCTTCATAAGTGAAGGAGAAATAAAATACTTTACAGACAAGCAAATGCTGAGAGATTTTGTCACCACCAGGCCTGCCCTAAAAGAGCTCCTGAAGGAAGCACTAAACACGGAAAGGAACAACCAGTACCAGCCACTGCAAAATCATGCCAAATTGTAAAGACCATTGAGGCTAGGAAGAAACTGCATCAACTAACGAGCAAAATAACCAGCTAACATCATAATGACAGGATCAAATTCACACATAACAATATTAAATTTAAATGTAAATGGACTAAATGCTCCAATTAAAAGACACAGACTGGCAAATTGGATAAAAAGTCCAGACCCATCAGTGTGCTGTATTCAGGAAACCCATCTCACGTGCAGAGACACACATAGGCTCAAAATAAAAGGATGGAGGAAGATCTACCAAGCAAATGGAAAACAAAAAAAGGCAGGGGTTGCAATCCTAGTCTCTGATAAAACAGACTTTAAACCAACAAAGATCAAAAGAGACAAAGAAGGCCATTACATAATGGTAAAGGGATCAATTCAACAAGAAGAGCTATCTATCCTAAATATATATGCACCCTATACAGGAGCACCCAGATTCATAAAGCAAGTCCTGAGTGACCTAAAATATACTTAGACTCCCACACAATAATAATGGGAGACTTTAACACCCCACTGTCAACATTAGACAGATCAATGAGACAGAAAGTCAACAAGGATACCCAGGAATTGAACTCAGCTCTACAACAAGCAGACCTAATAGACATCTACAGAACTCTCCACCCCAAATCAACAGAAGATACATTTTTTTCAGCACCACACCACACCTATTCCAAAATTGACCACATAGTTGGAAGTAAAGCTCTCCTCAGCAAATGTAAAAGAACAGAAATTATAACAAACTGTCTCTCAGACCACAGTGCAATCAAACTAGAACTCAGGATTAAGAAACTCACTCAAAACCGCTCAACTACATGGAAACTGAACAACCTGCTCCTGAATGACTACTGGGTACATAATGAAATGAAGGCAGAAATAAAGATGTTCTTTGAAACCAACGAGAACAAAGACACAACATACCAGAATCTCTGGGACACATTCAAAGCAGTATGTAGAGGGAAATTTATAGCACTAAATTCCCACAAGAGAAAGCAGGAAAGATCCAAAATTGACACCCTAACATCACAATTAAAAGAACTAGAAAAGCAAGAGTAAACACATTCAAAAGCTAGCAGAAGGCAAGAAATAACTAAAATCAGAGCAGAACTGAAGGAAATAGAGACACAAAAAACCCTTCAAAAAATTAATGAATCCAGGAGCTGGTTTTTTGAAAGGATCAACAAACTTGATAGACCGCTAGCAAGACTAATAAAGAAGAAAAGAGAGAAGAATCAAATGGACGGAATAAAAAATGATAAAGGGGATATCACCACTGATCCCACAGAAATACAAACTACCATCAGAGAATACTACAAACGCCTCTACGCAAATAAACTATAAAATCTAGAAGAAATGGATAAATTCCTTGACACATACACCCTCCCAAGACTAAACCAGGAAGAAGTTGAATCTCTGAATAGACCCATAACAGGCTCTGAAATTGTGGCAATAATCAATAACTTACCAACCAAAAAGAGTCCAGGACCAGATGGATTCACAGCCGAATTCTACCAGAGGTACAAGGAGGAACTAGTACCATTCCTTCTGAAACTATTCCAATCAATAGAAAAAGAGGGAATCCTCCCTAACTCATTTTATGAGGCCAGCATCATCCTGATACCAAAGCTGGGCAGAGACACAACCAAAAAAGAGAGTTTTAGACCAATATCCTTGATGAACATTGATGCAAAAATCCTCAATAAAATACTGGCAAACCGAATCCAGCAGCACATCAAAAAGCTTATCCACCATGATCAAGTGGGCTTCATCCCTGGGATGCAAGGCTGGTTCAATATACGCAAATCAATAAATGTAATCCAGCATATAAACAGAACCAAAGACAAAAACCACATGATTATCTCAATAGATGCAGAAAAGGCCTTTGATAAAAATTCTTTTGCTTTAAATATGTTTCATCTTTCTGTCCTAGACTGAGTCTTCTATATTTTATAATTGCTGAATTAGGATAAGCAGGACCCACTTCTCATTCCTCTTCTCTATCTGCTTCTCAGGATTTGAATTCCCTTTTATTCTCTCCCTAAACGTAAGTTCCTTGTGATTTACTAGTTTGAATCACATGATCTCAGAATAAGTGAACTCCAGGCATCTCACAGTCATTATTTACTCTGATCTTCTTAACCAAAGAAGGCAGCTATTGTCCATTCTGTACTCAGAGTTACCACTGGTTCCACACAAGTCTTCCCCAAGAGGTATCACCTTAACTATGAGATATGAGATCTCTAACACCTCTTATCTTCATACTCTGGGTACCACAGTTGTGTTTTGGAGCTAGAAGCTTCCTAATAGAGTGACTTAAGAAAAGCAAATACCCAAAAACTAAAGGAAAGACCTCAGGGGTGCTACTCCTATTCTTTTTCCTCTTATGAAAACCCATCTCCTCTTCAGAGAAAACAGAATTTGTAAACACAGTATGCAGAAGCTGTGAATTGCCTCCAAACATCTGTAATCCTTTTTAATGCATTAAAATCTTTTAACTATTTGTGCCATATTGTGCATTTTTTTAGTATAAACTGTTTTTCCCATTCAAATATTCAAATTGGAAGACTGTATTAATTACCTAAATCTAAGGCTGGTGTGTTTTTTCCATATACAAGAGAGGTGAAAAATCTATTTCCTAACTTCCATGCAGGAGATTTTCTTGACATTCCATTCAGAAGCCAGTTTCATAATTATATGCCAATCATTTTGATGAGAAATTTCATTATTTCTTCTTAAGAGATAATGTATATCAACATGTGAATTCAGATGATACACTTCAAAGAAGCAAAAATAAAATATTGGGGCAGTATTTTAAGTTGTTGTTATCCTTTTCTATAAGTTCAGAATAAAAGTATGTGACATAAAATTACACACATTAGCAGAAACTTTAAAAATAATAAAAAGGAAGAAATATTCACAAAGTCAACCATTACATTAAAATTCATTTTTGCTGGGTTAGCTGAAAAGACCATGAAAAAAATCCACCTGCCATTCAGTTTAATTTCTTGTGTTTAGAGCTCTACAGCATTCTGTGTAAAACTAATCAATAAAAAGGATTTATGAGACCTTGAAATAGAACAGTTGAAAGAAGGAAATTATAGTCAGTTTTAGTTATTAAAGATTTTTCACCACTAAATTTAGTATAAGGGAAACGTCATACATCTTTTTTAGCTTAAACAGGGCATTTATCAAGTACATGGATTGGGGAGACAATTGTGCTTAGACCTGCTGTAATGTGTCTTTATTTGTTGCTCACCATTTAATGTTGGCTATATTGAAGTAGGCCCAAACAGAAGGGAAATGAGATTGGAAAAACTTGTTTTTAAAAAAAAAAACAACACACACAAAACAAGTAGCCACAGTGAGCCATCACCTACATATAAAATTTTAAAAAAAGTATTTATAAATTCTGATTTAGTCCATGTTAAATTGCTTTGTTTGACAATATTTTTAAAAGAATGAAGGCAGGACAAGGAAAGTAGAAGGCAAGGGAGAGAGGAAGTGAGGAGGAAAAGGAGGCAAAACCAACCAACACCTCAAATGGCTTTTCACTACTGTGAAATCAAAGTGCAGCCCTGATAATATTCAAAGACCAAGCCATTACTGATTTTCATTTATTTTCACTATCTTAATATTTGCAGGACGATGAGCATTTCTGAAAATAGTTATACATGGGCTGTGTAACATTGTTGCTTGGTGACAGTGAGTTTTGTGAGACTGCCCTGAAGCACTTGGGGACTGTGCATACTGCCTGGAGACTTTTACTTATATAGATTTCTAAGCAGGGTAATGGGAGAAAATTTGAGAATTTAGCTTTTGTTTGATGTGTTACAAATGACAGATGGAAAATTGCAATATTTTGAAAAAACAAAAATGCAATGATGCACAGAACATAAGACTGCCATAATAATAATGGTACTTAGCGTTTATGCTGAGTTCTTCATCTACAGAGTACTTTACAAACAACTAATGAAGCCTCGTAACACTCCTGAAAGGCAGGTAAGCATCATTACTGCCATTCTACAGATGGAGAAAATGAGGCATGGAGGTTGAATATCTTTGCCTAAGACTACTGGGAATACATAGCAACACTTGAATTAAGGTTTAGGGATTCAGTCCTTTCTGCATAAAAGATCAGGGGACCAGCATTATTTGAATTAAAACAATGAAGGTTTAATACTAAATATTATCCCTTTTGAAAAGAAGATAAACTCATCATTCAGTTAACATTGATTTTCTTATAAATTGAAATTATACCTGCCTTCAGAAAACAACAATAACCTGTTCCGAGTTTATTTCTCTCATTCATTCTCAGTCTCCACAATTATCCCCATAGAATGCCTTTACTGAATGATGAGATGATGAGGGGCTTTACAGTCAGTGTCATCTCAAAGCATTGAGATTCGCTTTTGCTTTATATTAAAGTTGCAAATCATATCAATAGGCTTCATTTCATATTATGACAAGCTTCTCATTTCTGATCAGTAATAATTGTTAGCAATTTCAAAATCCTATATTATGTGAGAAAAATGTAGATTTTATATCTTTCTGCTAGTTAACTCTCTCCATAATTTTCCTCAATCCCAAAATTATTGCTCAAGATATAGAATGTTGCCAAAGAAATGATTCTCAGCCTGAAAGCAATGACCTGAGAGATTGTGTATTTTTGGAGGATTTGCTGCTTACCTTTAAAAGTCATGCAGTTTTTGTTTTAGTTTTGTTTGTTTGAGATAGGGTCTCACTCTGTGGCCCAGGCTGTAGTGCAGTGGCACAATCTTGGCCCGCTTTAACCTCAGCCACCTGGGTTCAAGCGATTCTGGTGCCTCAGCCTCCTGAGTAGCTGGAACTACAGGTGCACACCACCACACCTGGCTAATTTTTTGTATTTTTGGTAGAAACAGGGTTTACTCTGTTGGCCAGGCTGGTCTCGAACTCTTGGCTTCAAGTGATCTGCCCGCCTTGGCATGCAGTTTCTAACCAATGTTTTGCAGAGTTAGAAGCACAATGTGGAAAATAGCACAAATTTTAGGAAAATCTCCCCCCCCCCTTTTTTTTTCTCTTTGGAAGATCAATGACCTTGTTTTCATGTGTAAATATTTGTAAATTCCCAGTCCTAGGATCTTACCAACTGAGGGGACAAGATTTGAAACAATAGTGAGCAGTTCACTTAACACTATGGTATGAAAATATATAATTAAGTCATACTCTCACAAATGTTGAGGAAACATGAAAAGGAACAGAGATTGCTTTTTTTTTTGCTAATGTACTGAAAACACTATTTACCAAACTGATTTTGATTAGTACATGTGGCAAATATTTAAAGAATTTGATTCTAAAAATTATTCCCATAAACTTGTTTTTTAAAAAGTTCTCAACAAAGAAAATGTTCTAAACTTAGAATTTGGTGATGGTTGCACAACTCTGTGAATACAATACAACCTTTTAATTATACACTTTATGATGTAAATTTCATGTTACAGGAATTATAACTCAGTAAAGATTATATATATATATATATATATATATATATATATATGTTTCAAGGTTCAGAAAATGGCATGCCACTCCCCCACCCCACCCCACCCCAACTTCAGTGCTAGTCTGCTTTAGCTCCAGGACCTATGCTCTATCTGTTCGGTATATATTCTTCAGAGGATTTGGAAGGAATTATTTTTTCTCTTCTCACTTTGTTTCTCTTGACTCTGCAGGAACCACTTGGGTGCCCAGCTGCTGTCCATTCTCTACACTTATCCCACCTGATGGAAGGCTGTTAAGAAAAACATCACTGCAATGCCTAATAAACAGACATGGGTCCCAGACCCAATAAGAGTGAAACCATCCCCCTATTTAAATGAAATTATGGCTGATGAGAAAGACAAATTAATTTCTCTGTCCCTAGTATTACACAAAACTTTGGATGCTGCCATTGTTACAATTTTATTTTCCCCAGGAGCTCAGAGTCCCACCTTCATTCTTTTTGTTTAATGCTTAAGCTTGCCTGTCCACCTATGGAAGACTAGAATGAGCAAAGACCATGTATTCAATGATCTGTAAATCTAACAGGAAACAATATAATAAATATATTGTGTTTGCTAACCAAATCTGTGAATGATTAGATCGACTGGTTAATGATTAGATGGATTAACACATCATTTCTATTTTCTCTCTCCTCCCCTACTTCTTGTTTTAATGATACCTTCCAAGTTTTATTTCTCCAAGCCTAACCCCTTACATAATACAAGAGGACAACAGTTTGCAAAATAAATATCTGTTGGCCCTAACTGGTAAATACTGAAATAGATTTCAAGTAATGTGAGTGTTTTTGAAACCACCTAAATCTGTAAGCCACCCTGCAAGGAACAAGGGTAGCAAAGTGAATAAGCCAGACATGTAAAAATAAAGATGACAAAATGGAAGGCAATTAATGCCTGTAATGGAGGTGGGGAAGGGGGGAATGACAAGTTAATAAGAAATTTATTTTTAAATGCTATCATCTGCCATAAAATATCCATGCTTATTTTAGAAAATATGTAAAATGTTTAAGAATTAAACATCTTTAAAAAAATCACATGAACTCATCACCCTGCAACAAAACACACACAGATGAGTGCACACACTTAAACACACATTAATTTTCAATTAGTATATAAAGTTAATATCCTGCTAAGTACAAGATACTATATCATGAGCACTTTGTCTCGCCAATATTCTATGAAAACATAATTATTACAGAATATTCTGGAAAGTGAATATACCATGATTTATCCAGTCATTTCCCTATTAACACACATTTTGTGATTCCAATTTATCACTGCCACACAGTATTTTCTTAAATAACCTCACTTATAAGTTTTGTTTGAACGTTTTTATTATTTTCTATTTAATATAATGTTAATATAATGTTATATAATATAATGTTATAATGTTAGGGTTTTACTATATAAGGTGTATACATTATTTTAACGCTCGTTCCACTGGACACCCAAAGCCCTCAGTAAGTTTAGTGAATAACAGTACAATGCCCAAATTTTTGAAAGTTTTTCTCTTCCTTAATTTTTAGCATTTTGCACTATATTTTATTTTGAATAAATTAAAGAACTCATTTAAAGTACCTTTCATAGTGTCTCATATAGTGAGGTATCATACATAATGGTATTATTATAAATTTTGTTACTAATAATGACATACATATACTTGCTCAATTACTAGGAAAATGAATGCTTAAGCTTATCTTTCTTTTATTATCAGTGGGTTGAATTATGTCTTATATTTATTGACCATTCATATTTCTTCTGTGAATTTTCTTGTCTTTTAATTATTATCAGTATATTTCTTTTTTCTCTAGATTTTGTGTTAAAAAAACACTATAATATGTAGTAACAATATTATCCCTTTATTATTTTTGTTTTGAATATTTTCATTAACTTATCAATTACCTTTTAATTACTTCTGAGTTATTTTACAAAAAACATCTAAATCATTAATAAAATACATTGATAATTTTAAACATTATTATATATGCTATTATTTTTATACTTAGAACAGCTTTTTCCAAATTTTAATCTATGAAACACTAGGCTTCTAAAACATTTTGTTAAATAAATAAAATTATATGGTCTAACAAGTTTGAAGAAAATGAAGATATATAAATTTAAGTGGTTTTCTTTCACATTTTTTATGTTTGTAGGAAGCTAATATGCATTGTAGTGCCAAAGGGCATTTACAAAACATATTTGACCATGGCACCCTCCATTCATAAAGCATTTCGTAGGGTTAGTGTGTCTCTGAATACATTTTAGTTGACCTATATAGAAGCTATTTATCTGTTCCAAGACCACATAAAAAAGTTAAACCAGGCCAGGTGCGGTAACTCCTCTAATCCCAACTTTTTGGGAGGCCGAGGTGGGTGGATCACCCAAGGTCAAAAGTTTGAGACCAGACTGACCAACATGGTAAAACGCTATCTCTACTAAAAATACAAAAATTAGCTGGCCTTGGCAGTGCACCCCTGTAGTCTCAGCTACTCGGGAGCCTGAGACAGGAGAATCACTTGAATCTGATAAGCATAGCTTGCTGTGAGCCAACATTGTGCCACCGAACTCTAGCCTGGGCAACACAGTGAGACTTCCAAAAAAAAAAAAAAAGAGAGAAAAAGAAAGAGAGAGGGAGCGAGAGAGAGAGAGAGAGAGAGAGAGAGAAAGGGAGAAAGAGAGGGGGGGAGGGAGGGATGGAGGGAGGAAGGAAGGAAGGAAAGAGAGAGAGAGAGAAAGAAAGACAGAAAGAAAGAAAAACTATACTTTAAAAAAATTTTAAAGCCTCATGGTATATTCATTTATTTGTTTGCTTTAACAACTTTTTGCAAGTTATTTGTTTAATAAATATTATGAATTAGGTCTCTTTTTTTAACCCAATAATTAATTCTCCCAATACCATTTGTTTAGAAACTTAAATCTTTTAATCCTTTGGTTTATCATGCCCTCTGTTTTTGCCATAACCTAAATTATTATACGTACCATAGTGTGTCCAAATACTATCTATTCTGTTCTATTAATCTAACTGTAATTTCATGAACCGGAACCACAGTGTTTTAACATCATAACATATTTAAACACCTGTCTTAATGTATTAAAAGATGTGAATTATTTTTCTTTCCCCATAATGTTCATAGATACTTTTACATGTTTAGTCTCACAATGAACTTTGAATTATTTTATCGTGATCTCAAATAACATTTATTAACCCTATCATTAATTTGAAAGTTATTTGCATATTTAAAAAAAATCCAGTGCTCCGTTATGGAAATACAGTTTCTATTTTTATTATATTGAAGTTTTTATTTATATTGCTTAGTAAAGTATTTTAAGACTGCTCATATAGATTATGTACATTTCTTAATAAGATATTACTATTTTGTGAATAGTACCTTTTCACATTATGTACACTAATTGGTTATTGCTGCTGTACAGAAAAACTATCAACTTTTGCCATTTAATTTGTATCCAATCACTGTAATGAACTTTAATATTAATTCTCAGACTTTTGCCGATTATTCTCTTGAGTTCTCTATTTAAATAGTCATATTGTCTGCAAATAATAACAAAAATTTGCCTTCTCTTATTTCAGTATTATATTTTATTGCCTTGGCAAGAAGTCAAAGCCTGTGTTAATTAGTGAGGGTATTAGCAAATACTGTTTTTTGTAAATATAATATTCAATAGTTTTAAAAGTAATTTTTAAGGTATGTTATCAATTCATAATTTGGTAGGAATTAATTTTTAAAAATTAGGAATGAGTGGTGAGTGCTATTGAAGGCGTTTTTACCAACAAATGAGATCAAAATAAATCTTATGGGATTTCCTTTTGAGTTATCTATTTATATCTACCTACCTACCTACTTATTTATCTCCCTGTCTATCCACATATATAAATATCACTCTATACATTAAGATGCGTATATACGTAGTTGCATGCATAACATACACTACAACACACACATACACATTTCTATGTCTATTACTAAAACACCTGACTTTTCTTGGCTAAATTCTCTGGTTGAGGTTCAAAAGCTTCCTAGAAGCCATGTCTTAGTGCTTAATACTCGCATATAGTTTTCTTATGTGAGCTCAGATTTCTGTAATAAATCATTTTCAGATTCTTCTTGGGCCTCAGTATAATGTTCTCTTTATCTTTCCTTACTAGACCTTGTGTTGTTTTCATTTTTTCCTCTTTGCTATTCCTAAGTCAAAGGCATCCAGATTCAGTGTTTACCATCAGAAAATGTATCAATTTCATTTGATGCTGCTCACTCTCTACCAGGTGCTAACGGAATCACCTTTTTATATCACTATAGATGAAAGAGTATCAAATATCTGTGAGTCTTAGCCATACATCAGTGTCTAACCAAAGTTTATCGGCTTCATGTCTCTGGACTGAAATGGAGCCATTTTCCAACTCCATTATCTGTATCATCAACACCCTGCAGATGAAATACAAGGGGAATACTATACTATAGGAGCTTCTGCCTATAGTCCATTTATGGTTCCACACCTGGAGGATGATGTTTTCTAAGATGTAACTCCCCCTGTTCAACCCTGTACCACCCGCTTGTGTTCTCAATTCAGATGTACATACTTGTGTGTGGTGGGGTTGGAAGAGGTGTCAGGGGAAGGTGGAGGATAAGTGAGCCTTGGTACCTTAAGAAGCAACACTTTTACATAAGGATGACAGCCTAGTGTTCTCTTAGGTTCTGACCTGGTGTTTCTAGATTGTGGGCATTCAGTGAGGTTTCAATGAGATGTCTCCTTGTTGTTTTTAAGGAAACATGACTCCTCTGTTGTAGGGAAAGAGATTGGAGAAGACCATTAATTATTTTTATCATTATCTTCCATTATTCTGCTATTCAGTGAAAATCTCTCTCCCAACCACCTCCGAATCAAGCACTATGTCCTCTGACAGTCTTAATTTTCTGTGTTTCTGTAAGTTGCATCTTTTGTTCTGTCTTCGTAGATTTGTTGGGAAGCAGTGAGACATTAGAGACACTGATTGAAGAATTACTTTGTAAGTGCCCAATTAAAGTAGAACCTGGGGGAAGAAATTTAGGATTTTCAAATAAGGATAAAATTCACAGAAACAAATTGGAAGAAGTTTACTCCATTCCGTTCTAGAACACTTCAAGGCTGTTTTATCAAAGAAGACATTAAAGTTAAATAAAAACCTTTAGTCATATGTATACATATGTAACTAACCTGCACGTTGTGCACATGTACCCTAAAACTTAAAGTATAATAAAAAAAAAAAAAACCTTTAGTCAAAAACTTAGAAACTTTAAACTTACTTTATGTAAGGATCACATGATAAAACTACTTCAAATAAAAACACTATGAAGCTATTAGACTATATAAATTCTCAAAGTAATTATTTAAGACAATGAGAAAAATATAATATACCAGTAACTACTTTTCAAAATTATTACCATTTAGGTATAGAATAATTTTTAGAAAGAACAACAAAATGCTTAAAAACATATTGACATATCAACAATGTGTCTGATCATTTTTTAAATCATCCTCAAAGGGATTTTGTAAATTTTCAGTCTTCCCCTAGACACTTACTTGTATTAATCTAGGTTCTCCAGAGAAACAGACTCAATAGGAGATACACTCACACACACTCACTATAAGGAATTGGTGCACACAGTTAAAAAACCTGGGAAGTCCAAGATCTGTAGTCAGAAAGAGCTGATAGTATAAGTTTCAGTCCAAGTCTAAAGGCAGGAGAAGACTAATGTCCCAGCTAGAAGACAGTCAAGCAGAAAGAATCGTTTTATTCTATTCAGGCCTTCAACAATTTGGATGAGGTCCA